>NC_000009.12:36070606-36222121 GCF_000001405.40 Homo sapiens
AGATATTCCAAAAACAGATAACTTCCTATCACTGGAAATGTTCAAGTAAAGACTTACTGGATTCATCATGTGAAGGGGATTTTTGCAACAGACAGGAGATTTGATGATCTCTCTTCCAACTCTGTAGCTCTCTTATTCTGATGAATACCTAAGAAATAATATATCCTTCACTACTTAAGAGTACTTCTTTTGAGAATCACACTTGTTTTGATTGTGGGGTCACCAGACCCTGGCCTGTAGGAGCTATCCAAATCAACCATTAGCTTGATAACTCCTTTATGGGCATGTTCAAGTATCATGGACTTGCTCAGTTCTAGGTTCTCTGCCTTTTCACAGGCTTTGTCCTTTGGCCTACCTAAAAGTATTGGTTAGGCCACATGGGGTTCATGAATGTGTTGTGAAGCTACAACCAGAGATGATATTCAAAGTATTCAGCAGCTGTAGTTACATAGGCACCAACAGTCAGAACAGATGCTGGCTGTAAACCATAGGAATAGCCATACTTGTGCACATTGGCTGATTAGAACTAAAGGAAAAATGAGTTCATGTTTTCCAGGGGGTGTGAAATACAGTGTAGATTCTTTTTGCATAGTCTTCGTTCACAGGTTGGCTGTGAACATTTTCTTCTAGCCACCAAAATTATGATTTAAAAAATTTTTTGGTTGTTGATGGTTAATTTTCTTTCTTGAATGTCACAATAAGCTTCATTAAGGTAATATGAGGCTGATGAATTCCCAGAGACTGGCAATGGCTATAAAGTGATGAGATAAATTTTAGTTTGAAGTTTGTAAATCCATTTTATACTTTTAATGGCAGACCTTACCTGCCATTCTCTTAACATAATGGCCATAAATATAAATGCCTTTACATTTGCTGTGTGAGCCACTGAAGTACAATGCTACAAATTTGCCATCATACGTTTTATATTTTTTTACTTGTTTCTTCCTTCTTTCACAGATTCTTCTCTAAGCTTTTCTTTATATTTTCAGAAATGTCATTTTCATGTCTCTCCTTTCTTTGCTAGCTTTCTTCAATACACTTTTTTGATGTTATATCATTAAGGAAGGTGAGAAACTATGAAGGAAAGTTAGTAGGGGGTATTTTTGTGAGGACTAACTTTTTTTTAGTCTTAAGGCAGTTAAGTTTTAAACTAAACAGTTGCCAATACAACTAAAATATTGTTCTGCCATGGGGCTCTGGTTCTGTGAGAATGCTAAAATTAAGACTGTTGAGGATTCTGTCTTCTGTTAGTCCCACCTATCAGTACACAGCTAAATGTATAGAATGGTGCAGGTATGTGTTAAATTTTAATTTTGGGATTTTCACATTGTTCAAAATTCAAAATGGTATACAATGAATTATGTTTCCCACAGCCATCCAGTTCCTAAAGTTACTAGAGATATTTGAGATATTTTCTGCATATAAAAGTAAATATATATATGTATAGTCCTCCTCTACCCTCCTTTACCACAAATGGTAGTTTACTATACCCTTTGTTCTGCCCCTGGATGCCAGTGTTTGGTGTATATTTATGTATGTCTACCCAGACTGTATACTGTTTCCTCAGGAAATGTCACAATAAAATGTTCTGCTTAAAGATTTCTGTGTATCTATTAATTTTATTTTGTTTCTTTTTCTTTCAAATTAACTTTGGTTCTAGATTTACTACCAGAAGCATAAAGGAAAAGGGATGAAAAATTAGCCCAATTTAGAGATAAGAGGAGCAGGGATATCAGGACCAACAGGATTCTCTGGACAGCTAGAAGCCTCCTAAGCTTCAGTGTGATTGGATCTGTACTGCAGTGGTTCTAAGAATAGAGGAGACCATCTAGTTGTGGCAGATCACAGCCTAGGCTATGGACAGTTTTGTTCCTTGCCCAGTCAGCTTTTAGGGATTTTAACAAAAGGAATCGTGTGATACTTTGCCCCAGCAAAGCCCTCAGGACCTAAAAGTAAAGCATCTTTTAGTTTATGCTGAGGCAACTTCAAGAATTGCCAGGATATAGTAAATAGAAGACTATGAATGAGAGGCTTTATAAATGGTAAAATGCTGTACCGGTATACTGTATCACAGTAGATTTGAGCCGTTACCTGCAGCTGATGAGCTCCAAAAAGAGCGAAACCTATTAGGTCCTGCAGTACTGGCTTAAGATAGTATTAAACTTTGTATGTTGTTTTGGTTTGTCGTATTTGTTTTGTAGTTGGGGGAAGGGAGTAACTCCTATTTAGTCTCCTTGCTGCTAGTGTATTTCCTTTTCCAGTTCATTCTTCTCAGAAGTCACCTGAACGAGATGATTCCAAAAGGGAATTTGATCAAATCAGATTAGATTGCGACCTGGTCTCATCTTAAGTGGCCAAGGTTTTCCCCTTAAGCAATCTCATCTCCCATAGATTTAATTGTTCTTATATGCTGACAACTTCAGAATCTTCATTGCTAACCTTTTTTTTTTTGAGCTCCTGAACACTATTGGATACATGTACTTTTGATGTTCCCTTGGAACAACAAACAATCAAACCAAAATTGATTGATTTTAAATCAACCAAATTGATTATTACTTTCTCTACCTTTTCTGCCTCCCCTTCCCTCCCTTCCACCCCTAAACAGCAACACACAGACACACACAGACACACACAGACACACACACACACACACACACACACACACACACACATCCATCCCAAAACAAAACTTATGATTTTTCTTGCATTTCTTGTTTGGTTGTACCAATATGATCCTTCCAGGCACATCAACTTAAATGCCTGAGAGGTATTGTCTACTCTTTCCTCTTTCTCATCACCTCCTGCAAATTACTGTCTCTCAAGCCTAAAGAGTTGCCTTCTAAATGTACCTTAAATCAGTCTCCCTTTCAGATCCTCAGGTATTGCCTTAGCTTAGGTCTTTCTGCCACTTTTCTGGATACCTATAATAGCTGCCAAACTAGTTTTCCTGTGTCTAATTTCTCCTCTTATCTACTATATCCACTTCTAGATTAATCTCTTTAAAGACCAAATTTGATCCATGTCACTACCTTCCTTAAACCCTTCAGTTGCTTCCCTGTAGAACACAGCTCATGCTCCTCAGCCCAGTATCCCAAGCTTTTCTCAGTCTAGCTCCTGGTTCTTCTCTCTGTTACATTTAAGCAGCATGCTACTTATAGTTTCCCAGATTGACCCTGTTGTTTTATTTGTTAGTTGTAGTTGTACAAATTGTTTGTTCCACCTGGAATTCCTTCTTCTGAATCTTGGAACAAAAAGTATAGTATATTGGAGCTGGCAATACCAGCTCCCTACCAGCTAGGGAGTACTGCTTGTTAAATATTCAGGGATTTTGCAAGCCAGCTTGTAACTTAAAATCAGCCATGGGTGGAGGTATTTGCAGCGTGAACATCAGCAAATACTGCAAATCCAGATTTTCTCCACAACCACCCCCCACAAAAAAAGCTGGTTCCAGAACATCATTACCTCTATTGAACTAGAGTAACCTTTGCCTTAAATCCTGGTTTAAATGGTACCACTTTAAAGCCTTTCCTGCCCATTCATCTTCTCTCCACACACATAAAATTGATCACTACTTCCAAGCCCTTTGCATGCTTTATTATAGCATTTGTCGCTCTATAGCATAACTATGTTTACATGTCTCTTTTTAAACTAATCCCTGAGTTCCTGGGACAGAGTTCATATAATTATCTTTGTCTCTGTCATTCATTCACTTAACATTCATTGAACTGATACACACTGAACCAATATATTTAATATGTATCAGGCATTGTTCTCAGGGTACAAAAATGAAAGGATTTAGTCTGCAAGAAGCTCATAGTCCATGGGAAGAGAGAAATCCAAATAGTCCATTACAATACAGTGAGACAAGTACATTGCTAGAATGTATTGGAGCCTGGAGGAAAAAACCCTGCCTAGGGAAATGGGGAAGTCTTTCACAGAGCAGGTAAGACTTAAAGGATGAGCAGAAAGCTGTTGCCTGTAACAAAGTGCTACAGTCAGTACTTTTATAGATAGAAAAATTTTATAGACTTTTTCCCACTCTGGAGAACAGAATTATTCAAGGTTCTTTGTAACACAGTATATCAGCTTTACGTGGAAACTCTGTGTAAATGTCTTACACTCTTGGAATGCATGGAGAAAGTGCTCATTTTCTACTGTACTGTGGAGAATGTTTTCATTCTGAGTACTATCTATTATCCCAATAATGTTGTATAGTAAACCATCCCAAAACTCCATAGCTTAAAACAGTAACAATTTATTATTTCTCACAAATCTAAGGGCTTACTAGGCAGTTCTGCTCTGGCCAGGCTTAGCTGATTCCAGCTGGGCACACTCATCTGTCTACAATCAGATGGCAGGTCAGCCTGGGGCTGCCTGCTTTAGGAAGCCCTTGGCTAAGTCAGCTCAGATCTTCTCCATGTTTTCCCCTCCCTTTAGCAGACTAGCTCAGGCATGTTCACGTGGTGGTGGCAGGAGTCCAAGAGAGAAAGTGGAAACATGCAAGTGTAGTTCGGGCAACTGCTTACTCCAAGCTTGCTAGTGTCCACTAGGCCAAAGCAAGGCAAGTCACATGGCTAAGGCCAGAGTTACTGTACAATAAATAGATATAAGGAAATGTGAAAAATTGGGGCCATTACTGTAGTCAGTTCACCACAAGCACATACTCTGTGCTAGGCTGTCTTCTAGACCTTGTGTTTCTCTGCAGATGTTACTTGCCAGTGAATTTGCTTCCAGCTGGTTGGGTGCCCTGTGGTGATAATGAGCAAATTTTTCTGAGCAGTCTAGACCTATAAAGCTCATTTCTGTTTTGAGTGTTCATTTTTATTTGCATATCTGTTGAAATGACACATTATTTGGAAGGCTGAAGAAATTTAATAATCACTTGTTTAGTGATATTTCCAAGTCATGACATTAAACTCCTTACATATTCTAGTCATCTATACTTTTTGACATTCATGGTATCCACAAGGAAAAAACACCTTGTAGAGGTTTAAAAACATTTATGTTTTTAAAGAACAGTTATATTTAACCTCTCCTACTTAGCATTTCATAAGCTGGATTTCTTCTATGAAATGTGAAACTTTAAACTGGAAGAAATTTCAACCCATCTGTGAAAAGGAAACAGATTTTTATTTATTGAGGCCTTAGAAACAAAGTAGCCCCTTTACTTTTAAGTAATAGCATAGTTAAGTAGAAAGTACTGGGCATATAAAACATTAACATAACAGTTAATAAAATGTGCTCTTTTGGGTCTTTGTCCAAAAGTAACTAAATCATCCAAAATTCAAACCTGTAATTTTTTTTTACAAGATTCATATGATCAGTGTTTTGTTGTCATCATCTTTATCATTGATGAAAATGAGAGAGAGCTGGAGTAGTCAGTAGTAAAAGGGCAGTGGACAGAGAAAGGATTGAAACAAGTGGACAAATGGAGGAATGAACCATTTTTTTCAAATCCAAAAGCCAAATCAAATTGGACAGCCAGATATACGTAGCAAGCAAAGGGCAGAGCCAGGGCTAGAACCCGGACTGCCCTACCAGTGCTCTTCCATGACACTGCGTTGTGAGAATAGTCTGGTCTCACTGTATTGCAATGGACTATTTGGATTTCTCTCTTCTGAATGCACCCAAAGCAAGGTTGAATGTTTGTTCATAGATTAATCTATTTAACCAGTTTCCTATTTTAAAAATCAATAGAAAAGGGTCACTGAAGTGGCAGAAAATAAATTGCAGAGCGAACTTCTGGGCTAGAGGTTGGACCAGCAGAGTCTACTTCCCAGGTGCACCCAAAGGGTCTTCCCCACCAAAAGGAAAACCAGTGTGGCATGAAGGATCACATAGGGTTCCCTCAACTTTGATTTACTCTGTTTTTGTGCCAGGTTTGCCCACAGTTCATATGCTCCCAACAGTGGATCAAAGGGCTTGTACTACCTGGAATTCCCTCTTCCTGAATCCATCCTAACACACCCCCACCTAGTAATATATTGGAGCTGACATCTACCAGCTTGGGAGTACTAATTGTCAAATATTCAGGAATTTAATCGCGAGAGTAGGGCAGGGAACTAGTTATTGAGAGCAGCTACCAGAGGAAAGATTTTAGGATCAAAAATAATTTTTTTAGGATCAAAATATTTTTAAGGAAAATAATATTAACCTCAAGAAAATGGTGACCTTTTTTGGTTACAATTTAAGGAGCTGATTTTAAAAATAGGGGACTGGTTAAATAGATTACTCTGTGAACAAACATTCAACCTTGCATTGGCTGCATTGAGAAAAACAACCCAGACTATTCTCAGTGCAGTGTCATGGAAGAGCACTGGCAGGGCAGTCTGGGTTCCAGCCCTGGCTCTGCCCTTTGCTTGCTTATACATATCTGGCTCTCCAACTAGATAGTGACAGCTTTTGGATTTGAAGTTCTCTTGAGACCCTGTCAACTCCAGTATGCTGACATGTTCTTTGCATCTTTGAGGTTATGGTAGATCCTCACCTCAGCACCCCTATAGTTTTGACCTATTCT
Organism: Homo sapiens; assembly: GCF_000001405.40. Lineage (NCBI taxonomy): Eukaryota > Metazoa > Chordata > Mammalia > Primates > Hominidae > Homo > Homo sapiens. The sequence continues at coordinate 36,077,124 of NC_000009.12, forward strand.
TGACTAACATGAGTAGGGGAGGGAGAGGGAGCAGTTATATGGGGGCACATTGGGTGTGGTATTGGTAAGCAGGTCAAAAGAGGCTCCATAGGAGTGAATACGAACCCTCAGTTACCTCCAAAAGTCAGAAAGTTACCTTTCAAAAGTCAGATGGCAGACTTTTGAAAGACTTAAAAATTGACTAGCTAAGACTTCAAGACAGGCTGACGTAAGAAATGAAGAAACTATTAAGTTAATCCTATAACTCATTATGTGTATGTCCTAAGCCCTCTCAGACTAATCAGCAGTATTAAAGTGGTAAAAAGATAGAGTTACATATAGTAAATTTAGGAGTCATTCATCAAAGAGGGAGATATGATCAGTCTATTAAATCATGATAGGTGTAACAGAATTTATTCATCAAATGCTGGTATACTGGAATGAAGGAACATTCTTTTGAACCTTAAAATGGGTAAAGAGGCAAGATGGTATTAACACTAAAGTGTTAGTGGTTAATGGTAATTTTCACATGATGCTGCCATGTGAAAATAGAAAAGATTAGTTCAACAAATTCAGGTAAACTTAGGCACAAAAGGTCTATTAATGAACATCAAGAGAAATAAGAGATGCTTGAAGAACATCTCTGAACTCTGGATGTGACATCAAGGGAAGCAACTGTGCCGTTTTCCTTTTTCTTCAGGTATTGGGAGACTTTTTCTGTAAGGGGCCAGACAGCAAATATTTTAGGCTTGGAGATCATTCACTCTCTGTTTATTCAACTTTGCCATAGAAGTGTGCTTAGCGTGAGGTAGCCATATAAAATATCTAAATAAGCCGGCATGCACCCATAGTCGCAGGTACTTGGGAGGCAGCAGAGTGGAGGCCAACCTGGGCAACATAGCAAAACCCTGTGTCTTAAAAAAAATTTTTTAATTTAAAAAAGTAGGTAAATGAAAAAAATAATTAAAATTTTAAAAGTATGTAACTGAATGGGCATGTCTGTCTTCCAATAAAAACTTTATTTCCAAAAACAGGTGGCAGGCAAGATTTGGCTTGTGTGCCATAGTTTGCCAGCCCCTGTTGTGAGTAAAAGCTATTGTCCATAAGTATTTCCCCTTTCTAGGCCTTGGCCTCTGACTTCTATTAAATAAGGAAGTTGGACTAGATGATTTCTCACATTTCGCAGGTTTTATCTCCTTTAGTAGTACCTCTCCCTGAAGCTAAGTGATCCACAGGCTGAACCACAGTGACATTTATTTGTAAAGTCAGTTTTTTAAACATCCAGGTTGAACAAATGTATAAGTCTCTAGAGCAGAGTTTATCAGTCTTGGCACCACTGGCATTTTGGTCTGGATAATCTTTTGCGGGAGGGAGACTGTCCTGTGCAGTGTAGGATGCTTAGCAGTGTGCCTGGCCTCTACTCACCAGATGCCAGTAGCACTCCCCACCCCTCAGTTGTGATAACCAAAAATGTCTCCAGGCGCTGCCAAATGTACCATGGGAAGCAAAATCACCCCTAGTTGAAAACCACTTCTGTGGAAAGTTCAAAAATAACTAGAAAAATATCAAATACTAGAAAATCAGGCCATGCAACCCAAGATAGCCACCAAGTTATCAAACATATTTATTCAGGTACAAGGTCAAAAAAAGCCAAACCAAAGGGAACAAAGATCTTATTAGAAGGAAAAGAGCAATGAGAATTGCATTCATCCAGTCAAAGAGGGCTAGAAAGTTGGTAGCCGACTACCTTTATTTTATTTTATTTTATTATTTGTTTGTTTGTTTATTTGTTTATTTATTTATTTATTTTGAGACAGAGTTTCGCTCTTGTTTCCCAGGCTGGAGTGTAGTGGCATGATCTCGGCTCACTGCAACCTCCGCCTCCCAGGTTCAAGTGATTCTCTTGCCTCAGCCTCCTGAGTAGCTAGGATTACAGGCATGCACCACCACGCCCGGCTAATTTTGTATTTTCAGTAGAGACAGGGTTTCTCCATGTTTTTCAGGCTGGTCTCGAACTCCCGACCTCAGGTGATCCTCCCACCTCGGCCTCCCAAAGTGCTGGGATTACAGGTGTGAGCCACCTCGCCCAGCTGGTAGCTGACTACTTTTTAATATTGATTTAGATCATTTTAAAAGTGTTCCTGAGTCCAGTGAATCCATTTAAATAGAGAGTTATCTATAATGCATAACTGAAAAGTCACACTAAAAGAAGGAAACATGAATGAAGAGAGATATAAACAAGATCATTGTTAATGAACACTAAGAATATTTACTTTTTCACTCCTGTTATATTGCTTGATGGAGTCTCTAGCAGAAAGAATTCATACTGGGTGAATTGAGGAACCCTTATCTATGAGGCCCAGGGTTTTCTGTTTTATTTTGCTTTAAATTGTTAAATCAAGTGTGGCATATTCCTACAATGGAATATTATTTAGCAGAGAAAATGAATGAATACAGCTTCACACAGCTACATAGAGGGATCTTTGAAGCTAGGTTTTAAATGCCAATAGCTGATCCTTTAACAAATCCCCATCACCTAGCCAGCTTGCAATATGGCTGCAATTAAAAGCCAAAATCGTCTCGTTTCAACAATAAGGGTGTGCTTGATTTCCTTCTGCCTGTAATTTATGCCCATATTATTTCTTTTAGGAAGTAATTATCCTCCCATTGTGATTGATTATTATTCATAGCTGACAAGCCCTAAATATCCAAATGGCTTTGTATAAGTTTTTCATTTTTGTCTTGTTTTGGGTTTTATTTTCTTTACATTGACTTTAATACAGGGTGGTGTTTTCTGAACAATAATCTAAGCACTCTAGAGACACTAATTATAGTCTCAAACTCGCTTTTGACTTTTTCTATTACCTGGGGCGGGTCTCTTTTACCCTGCTGAGGAAACAGTTTCTTCATCTGTAAAATGATAGATTCCCAAACTCTGGTCCCAGGATGGCTATAAAAAAACTGTATTTCAAGTCTTGTTTAAAATTTAGATTTCTGTGCCTCACCCCTAGATTCTGAATCTGTAGTCTAGGGTAAGGTCTAGGAAACTCAGATGATTCCAGTGTACAGCCATGTTTGAGAACAAGTAGAGATAATGTCTAAAATCCTTTCAAATCTAAAATGCAGTGGTTACATGAAATATATATTTCCCTAGATGTCATTTATTAGATTATTTTCTGGAAAGTTTTTATATCCTGCAAGGAATAATTAAGATTAATACATTGTAGCCCCTCCCACACACTTACAGCTTTACATAAACTTGGTTTGCTATAACTGGTCAGCTTATGGCTCCAAGTAGTCATCTTGATCCTGATATATGTTGGAAGATGGTTTCCCTTTTTACCAGAATATCATTTCATAACTTCTGTGTTTTCAGTCTTGGATTTAGGGAAGAATTAAATAGTTTTAATATCATGATTTCCATGTAACCATAAAGTGGAATTAAATTACAAATTCTCTCTGGTTGTTAATTTCTGTTTATTTGTTTTTCTTCAATTTACAGAATGCTCTTTTCAGTTGCATTAGCAGAAATGAAAGTAAGTATATTTGTCAATGGTTGTACAAACAGTCCAAAGATATAATTAGCCATCTGAAGCAATGTGCACAGCAGGATTCCGATAGGCTCTTTCCCATGGTGTATTTAGGTCATTCATGTATTATAACAATTCCCATGTCTTAACTGTAGATCTACAATGCAGATACTAAAGCTCAGTGTGCTAGAGGATGATCACAACCCAATAAATAGGCCCATTTTCAGAAGTTAAGTACACCCATGCTATATAATGTAGCACTTGCCGAGTGCTACGTCTCAGTTCATTCAACAGACGTTGATTGAGTACTTGGTCAGTGTGGGGCAGACACACATCTGTGGAGGACACGACCTGTACACAAAGAATGCTGGGATATGGTAGGATATGAGATAGTGTCACTGGATAAAGTGCTCCAGGAGTTCAGAGAAAGAAGGGATCATATTCTGCAGGGGTACTTAGAGGTGGCTTCATGGAGTTGGTAGCTGATCCCGGGCATGAAGGATGGGTAAGATGTGAACAGTGGAGAATGAAGGAAATGGAGATTGGAGGAAGGGCTTACAGGTGAAGGGAACAGTGAGAGCAGACAGACATGGGAAAACACATGTAAGGAACAAAGAGTTCTTTAGCTCAGCAGGAAAGTATATTGAAGGATAATAAGAAACATTTGCTGTCTGTAATTTATCTTCTATCCTTTCTAACTGAGGCTTAGTTCAAGATTTTCCAGGTAGTCTCAGGCATGTAATCTTATGTCCTCCCACACTGGTGAAAAAGCCAGCTGAATGGAGGAATCAGAAGATAGGCATCTTGTCCTGTTCCTATGTGTCTGTTCTTATATGTCCTCACCATTCCCCACCACCACCCCCAATGTATCCTCACTGAGGTTTACAGTGATAAATGCAGCCATTAATCATTGTTCTTTGGCCAGGCGCTGTGGCTCATGCCTGTAACCCCAGCACTTTGCGAGGCAGAGACAGGTGGATCACTTGAGGTCAGGAGTTTGAGACCAGCCTGGCCAATATGGTGAAAACCCATCTCTACTAAAAATACAAAAATTAGCTGGGCATGGTGGCACGTGCCTGTAATCCCAGCTACTAGAGAGGCTGAGGCAGGAGAATCGCTTGAACCCAGGAGGCAGAGGTTGCAGTAAGCCAAGATCGCGCCACTGCACTCCAGCCAGGGGACAGAGTGAGACTGTGTCTCAAAAAAAAAAAAAAAAATTTGTTCTTTGTGAAGAAAATGAACTCTTTGGCAATAAACACAATAAGTTTGGTAGTAGTTGCAAGTTTAAAAGAGGCGGTACAGTAGGTATGGAATAGTTTCCTGGTCTGGGAAACTGAGACTTGTCCTATATCAGTTCAGTCCTAGTTCAGTTTCTTTGGTTATGACTTTATTATTATCATTATCATTATTTCTGGAAGTCACCAGAATCCCTGCTCATGGGTCTTTGGAATTCACCAGAAACCTGATTCTGGTTCCTCCATATCTATCCCTAATAATTATCAAGAATTTCCTCCCTGCTTTCTCTCTCTCTCTCTCTCTCTCTCTCTCTCTCTCTCCTTTTTTCTTTTTGAGACAAGATTTGGCTGTGTTGCTGAGGCTAGAGTGTGGTGGCGAGATCTTGGCTTACTGCAACCTCCGCCTCCTGGGCTCAAACCATCCTTCTACCTCAACCTCCCTAGTAGTTGGGACCACAGGCACATGCCACTGCACCCAGCTAATTTTTGTATTTTAGGTATAGATGGGGTTTCAACATTTTGCCCAGGCTGGTCTCAAACTCCTGGACTTCCAAAGTACTGGGATTATAGATGTGAGCCACAGCACCCGACCCCCCTGCTTTCTCTTAACCTCTTCCTCCCATACCTCTACCTCTCCCTTCAGCCTCCCACAGACTCCCTTAGATTCCTGTGAGGGGTTCTTGTTCTTCTCCTTTACAGATCCCACATCTGCACCCCCAGCTACTCATCTAGCTCTCCCAAAATACCTTAAATGACAGCCCATTGATTTTTTAAATAAATAAATCCAGAGTAATATTTATTTCAAATGAGTTTTCTTTTCAGTGTTGAAGCAGGACATATCAATTGTGAGATGAAGTCTATCTCAATTTAGGCAAACTCTTACAGATAGATGTTCAAACTGTACAGAACTTTTGGGATTTTGTTTCAAGATATACAGTTATATAAATGTCAAATTTATTAAATGATCCTTACATCACTTAGTTTTTACTGGCCCTGTTTTATAAATGTGAGGGATTTGGGGTTTTGTTTTATTTTGGTTTGGTTTGGTTTTGCTTTGCTTTGTGTTTATAAACCTCTACAAATCTAACACAGAAAGACACTGCTTCACTGGTTTTCAACATGGGCACTCTTGGCATTTTGAGAGACAGTGTTTGTTGTCTGAGACTGTCCTATGCATTGCAAGACGTTTAGCAGCCCTAACCCTCATGTACTAAATGCCAGTCGTAGTCCAACTCCTTGTGGGGTGTGATACTGTTCCTGTGGAGAACCACTGGACTATAGACTGTAAGTTGATGATTAATGACTTTATTACACTAGTGAGCACTTGAATGTCCCCGTGAGTATACCTACAGAAGTGCCGATTTTAAGTGTTCATCGTCTGTGGCATGGTTTTATTTCTCAAATTTAGAAAGACATATTGTTCCATCATTATGATGATGATTTAATGTTAACAAAAAGCTGTTTCCATGTCAGTGCCTTCTCTTTTTTTCTCCATAGTGGGCTCGGTTTGTTGCAGTTATGCAGGTCATCACACAAACTGCCGAGAATACTGTCAAGCCATTTTTCGAACAGACTCTTCTCCTGGTCCATCTCAGATAAAAGCAGTGGAAAATTATTGCGCCTCTATTAGTCCACAATTAATACATTGTGTGAACAATTATACTCAATCTTATCCAATGAGGAACCCAACGGATAGTAAGTAAAAGGGACATATTCTTCTCATTTCAATCTTTGGTAAAATCGTTTGTAAAAAGAAGTGATACGTTCTTGTAGATATCTGCAGTCTGGGTCATTTGAGAAATATCAGACTTCCTTTGGTATTTAGATTTGGCAGATTGAATAATATTGTCACAGCCAAAAGGGGCCAAGAAAGATGAAACTGTAGAGGGTATGAGGAAACAGGAATTCTCAATTCTGAGGGTGGGAGAGTTCACTGATATGGATTTTTTAGAGGGAAGTTGGGTAATGACCATTAGGATTTCAAATTATCATAAGCTTCTGATCTAGCAGTTCCATTTCTCAGAATTTATCTCATAAGAAAACTTATATAAATTTGCAAAAATAAATATATATGCATATAAACAATGTTCACTACAATGCTGGTATAATAGAGAAAAATGACAAACAACCCAAACATCCATCAATACAGCATTGATTAAAATTGATTAAGTAAATTACGGCATACCTATAGAATAATAACACTTGGCAACCAACAAAAAAAAAGGACTTCTTACGTAGAAGTCCAAGGCTGAGTGTGGTCGCTCATGCCTGTAATCCCAGCACTTTGAGAAGCCAAGACAGGCAGATCGTTTTGCGCTCAGGAGTTTGAGACCAGCCTGGGCAACATGGTGAAACCCCATCTCTACAAAAAATACAGAAATTAGCCAGGTTCACACGCTTGTGATCCCAGCTTCTTGGGAGGCTGAGGCTGGAGAATCACATGAACCTGGGAGGCTGAGGTTGCAGTGAGCCAAGATCCTACCACTGCACTCCAGTCTGGATGACAGAGAGAGAGCCTGTCTAAAAAAACAAAACAAAACAAAAAGGCCAGGCACGGTGGCTCACGCCTGTAATCCCAGCACTTTGGGAGGCTGAGGTGGGCAGATCACCTGAGGTCAGGAGTTCAAGAACAACCTGACCAACATGTTGAAACCCTGTCTCTACTAAAAATACAAAAATCAGCCAGGTGTGGTGGCACATGCCTGTAATCCCAGCTACTCGGGAGGCTGAGGCAGGAGAATTGATTGAAACTTGGAGGTGGAGGTTGCATTGAGCCGAGATTGTGCCACAGCACTCTAGCCTGGGCAACAGACCAGACATCGTCAGGAAGGAAGAAGGAAGGAAGGGATGAAGGGAGGAAGGGAGGGAGGGAGGGAGGAAGGAAGGAAGGTAGGCCCGTCCGAGTTGGCCAGCATAGTGACTCACACCTGTAACCTTAGCACTGTGGGAGGCCTAGATGGGAGGATTGCCTGAGGTCAAAAGTTCAAGACCAGCCTGGACAACATAGTGAGACCCTATGTCTCCAAAAAATTAAAAAATTAACTGGGCATGGTGGCACATAGCTGTAGTCCTAGCTACTGGAGAGGTAGAGACAGGAAGATGGCTTGAGCCCAGGAGGTCAAGGCTGCAGTGAATTATTATTGTGCCACTGCACTCCAGCCTGGGTGACAGAGCAAAACCCTGTCTCTAAAAAATAGTGAAGTCCAAGATGTATTAAGCAAAAAAAAAGTAAATCACAGAACTAAAAATATAGTGTGATATATTTTTAGTTTATACCTAATTGTTTCACTTTATATATTTTCCACAGTGTTTGAATTTTTTGCCAATGAGCAATTATTACTTTTGTAATTAAAAAGTCATAACAATGAGAAGAGAGCCTGATATCTTTTAAAAATTAGGGCCTCCTGATGAAGCTGCACCTGAAATGGCTCTTCAGAGTCTCCGCTTTGTACATCCTGGAATCCATTTTCTTCACCTAGAGGTGACCAGATTTATAAAAACTGACTGATTGACCAAACTGACCAAAGACTGATTTATAAGATGTCAATGTTTTGATTTACACTGTGATATTGAAAGAGGCTCTGTGGCTTATGTCTGTAATCTCAGCGCTTTGTGATGCTGAGGCAGGAGAATTGCTTGAGGCCAAGAGTTTGAGACCAGCCTGGGTAACAAAGTGAGAACCCAGCTCTACAAAAAAATAATAATAATAATTAGCTGGGTGTGGTGACACACCCAGCTCCTCAGGAGGCTGATGCTGGAGGATCGCTTGAGCCCAAGAGTTCAAGGTTGCAGTGAGCCATCATCACTTCACTGCACTCCAGCCAGGGCAACAAAGCAAGACCCTGCCTCGGGGGGAAAAAAAAAGATGAAAAGAAAGAAAGACTTGTTTTTTGTAACTCAGTAGCAGTACTGTGTGCCTTGTTTGGCCACCATCTAAATCAGAACTCTAATGGCTTTTGACATCCTTTGGTGTAGCTGTGTGGTCAAAATCAGAGGATGAAGCATTGCCCCAATAACCTTCATTTGTTTTAAAGGCAGATCTGTGCTCTCTGACATTTAGTCTATACGAGATACTGCTGGAGCTAAGGAGATGGCAGCTCAATAAAAAAGCAGAAAGAGGTTTTAAGGGTAGAACAACCGTCTCCATCTTTGCCAATACAGAGGAATCTGGAAAAGAAGGCGCCAAACAGATATGCACAGATTTCTTCCAAAGTCAGAGAAAACTACTTCAAAGAAGCCCTTCTGAATTCTGTAATATGGTTGAAAGTGTTTTTTTATTTCTGATTCTTTGAGAAAATTAAAGGCAGAGCCAAACTGATATCTTGTCAGAGTTCGCTACTGTACTATTTATGTTACAACTTAGATTAATTAGCATAAGATATATAAAAGCTTTATGTGGTCCTGGAATGTAATGAAATATTGTGTCTGGAATTGGTTCCTTCCGGTGGGTTCTTGGTCTCGCTGACTTCAAGAGTGAAGCCACAGACCTTCGCGTGAGTGTTACAGCTCTTAAAGGTGGCATCCAGAGTTGTTTGTTCCTCCCAGTGGGTTCGTGGTCTCGCTGACTTCAGGAGTGAAGCCGCAGACCTTCGCAGTGAGTGTTACAGCTCATGAAGGTAGTGCCGACCCAAAGAGTGAGCAGCAACAAGATTTATTGTGAAGAGTGAAAGAACAAAACTTCCACAGCATGGAAAGGGACTGGAGCAGGTTGCCACTGCTGGCTCGGGTGGCCAGCTTTTATTCCCTTATTTGGCCCCGCCCACATCTGCTGATTGGTCCGTTTTACAGAGTGCTGATTGGTCTATTTTTACAGAGTGCTGATTGCTACCTTTACAAACCTTTAGCTAGCCAGAAAAGTTCTCCAAGTCCCCACCTGACCCAGAGGCCCAGCCGGCTTCACCTCTCAATATGGTGTTTGTGTTTGTTGCTATAAAAATTAGTCATTTCTCTCATGTCAAGAACATAATCCCTTTTAGGTAATTGTTTCTAGCAGGAAATAATTCCAGTTTCATCTACAATACCTTTTCTAGGAATATCAAATACCTCTCCTGTGAGGACTTCTTAGGTGTAGGATGGCCTTTCATTTTTGTAAGGATGGTGCTAAAGATCCCATGATTGGAGACAGTGGTGAATTCTGGTAATAGATACCTTGTCCACCTAAAGCTCCTCACCTTTTTGCTACACTGCAAAGTAATAGAGAATTTGGTAGGGCCTGTATTCTGCAAATACTGACATATAACTAAGAGTAGTAATGGCTTCCACTACACTGCCATGTTCTGTGCTAAGCAGAGCATGACAAAAAAAGAAAAAAAAAACATGCACACATATGTTTATTGCAGCACTATTCACAGTAGCAAAGACTTAGAACCAACCCAAATGCCCATCAGTGACAGACTGAATAAAGAAAATGTGGCACATCTACACCATGGAATACTATGCAGCCATAAAAAAGGATGAGTTCATGTCCTTTGCAGGGACATGGATGAAGCTGGAAACCATCATTCTCAGCAAACTAACACAAGAACAGAAAACAAAATACTGCATGTTCTCACTCATAAGTGGGAGTTGAACTATGAGAACACATGGACACAGGGAGGGGAACATCACACACCAGGGCCTGTCAGGGAGTTGGGGGCTAGGGGAGGGATAGCATTAGGAGAAATACCTAATGTAGATGACAGGTTGATGGGTTCAGCAAACCACCATGGCATGTGTATACCTATGTAACAAATCTGCACATTCTGCACATGTATCCCAGAACTTAAAGTACAATAAAAACAAACAAAAAAAACAGCTAATTAAGCCACTTATATTCTGAAAATGTAGGTTTATATTGCTGTGACAGAGCTGAAGACCATGCTTGCCAAAATGCCTGCAAGAGAATCCTGATGTCCAAGAAAACGGAAATGGAGATTGTTGATGGTCTCATCGAGGGTTGTAAGACCCAGCCCTTGCCTCAAGATCCTCTTTGGCAATGTTTTCTTGAAAGCTCACAATCTGTTCACCCTGGAGTCACTGTACACCCTCCTCCCTCTACAGGCCTCGATGGGGCTAAATTGCATTGTTGTTCTAAAGCAAACACTTCAACATGTAGGTTAGTATTTCATTTTCCTTTACCAAAATCAGTAGAAAATGGCATTTTAATTAATGATTTTAAGCCTAGCAAACGTGTGTTATATTCTTACGTGGTATAGGTTTAGCATTTAGAAAATATAAAATATTATTTCATCCAACAAATGTGTATTGAGCATTGTGTACCGTATACAAAACATTGTTCTGTATATTGAGTGCTAAAAGCTCTGTGTTTTGGGGTGTGGAGGATTAGCATTGGCAGGGTAGTAAATATTTAAGATGATGCAATAGATGAATTCTATCCTTATAGAGATCATTAAGTAAGCTTACAGTTTAGAAGATGTTTTGATCTGACATCTAAGGGACATTCTCTTTATTAAATTATGAAACTTTGAACTTTTTATTATATTGGTGGATAACCTGGGTTAGCACTTATAACCAGAGTTAGGTGGTAGCATATTGGCATTCATCTTGGTGATACACTTAGAGATGAAAAATTAACAATACAAATATAGGATGTAGGAATTGCAGTCTAGAGACAAAAACAAATGGAGATACCTAAGATCATGGTAGAACACAGGTACAATAGAAATGTGCTTTATTAGAGATATTTGGGGTAAAAAGGGACCCCATGTTACTCGGATATCCTGAAATGAATATAAGATACCAGGCGTAAAACAATCTTTCCTGTGGTTTCTAAATTGGATGGACCTTTAGCAAAAAATTTTGCCTAGAATAGCTCATCAGACTTTGGTAATTGTCAATCAAACTTTGGCAAATTTTTTAAAAGACATGAAGGTCGGGCGCGGTGGCTCATGCCTGTAATCCCAACACTTCAGGAGGCTGAGGCAGGGGATCACCTGAGATCAGGAGTTTGAGACCAGCCTGGCCAATATGGTGAAACCCTGTCTCTACTAAAAAATATACAAAATTTAGCGGGGCGTGGTGGCACATGCCTGTAATTCCAGCTACTTGAGAGGCTGAGGCAGAAGAATCACTTGGACCTGGGAGGCAGAGGTTGCAGTGAGCCGAGATTGCGCCACTGCACTCCAGCCTGAGTGACACAGTGAAGACTCCGTCTCAAAATAAATTAATTAATTAATTAAAGACATGAAAAAGAGCGAGACTCTGTCTCCAAATAAATAAATGAAAGACGTGAAAAATCTCCAAAGAAAATTAACAAAAAGGCTTAAAGGGAAATTAAATTAGGCTTGTAATTAAGGAAATTAGATTGCTTGTAGAAGTTAATAAATATATTTATGGGAAGGATGCTGAGTGTTTCTTTGAATGCCCACAAAAAAGTTTACACCTACGTAGAGTCACTAGAGGTTGGAATGGCCGTGTTGTCCCAAAAGAGCTTCAGTAAGGAAGGCTTTTCCTTCTCTCTAACCTTGATACAGGGTTTTATGGTTTGCTGAAGGCTTGCATTTTCATCAGATTTCATCTTCATAAAACCTTAGGAGATAATTGGAGAAATTTATGTAATTTTTCTTTTACACTTAATAAACTAACTATGAGATGTTAAATAACCTGTCCAAGGCAAATACAGATTGACCACCCTTAATCCAAAAATCTGAAATCCAAAATGCTCCAAAATCAGAAACGTTTTGAGTGCTGACATGACACCACAAGTGGAAAATTCCACACCTGACCTCATGTGATGGGTCACAGTCAAAATGCAGTCAAAACTTTGTATCATGCACAAAATTATTTAAAATACTGTATAAGATTACCTTCAGGCTATGTGTATAAGGTATATATGAACATAAATGAATGTCGTGTTTAGACTTGGGTCCTAGCCCCAAAATATCTCATTAGGTATATACAAGTATTCTAAAATCCAAAAAAAATCCAAAATTTGGGTCCCAAGCATTTCAGATGAGGGATACCCAACCTATAGAAAGTTAAGGACTAGCCAGATGCAGTGACTCAAGCCTGTAATTCCAGGGTGAGGCAGATGGATCGCCTGAGGTCAAGAGTTCCAGACCAGCCTGGTCAACATGGCAAAACCCCATCTCTACTAAAAATACACACACACACACACACACACACACACACACACACAAATTAGCCAGGTGTGGTGGCAGATGCCTATAATCTCAGCTGCTTGGGAGGCTGAGGCACTAGAATCACTTGAACCCAGGAGGCAGAGGCTGCAGTCAGCCGAGATCACGCCACTGCACTCCAGACTGGGTGACAGAGTGAGACTCTGTCTCTAAAAACAAAACAAAAAAGAAAGAAAGTTAAGGACTAGAAAAAAGAAAGCTTCCAGATCGAGGTACCTGATGTAACTTGATCACAGCTTCCTTATTCCCATAATGTGTAAGCCTCACTGATAGCAGGGACCTTGTCTGTTTTATTCACCATTGTATTTCCAGTGCTTTCAACAGGCCCTCACACAAAATAGACACTCAATAAACATTGGTGGGGTGAATGAACAAATGTAAAAGTAAAGATATCTTTGTCATAGGGGTAAATATGACAGTCAAAATATAAGGTGAATGAAAATTTTTACTTATAATTTTGTATATTTCAATAATATGAAAATTTTATTGTAAACATGTATTTTATAAATAAAATGAATATCATGTGTGAGAGCACTTTAGAAATGGTATAAATGTTTTAGCTATATACACATACTTAAGTTGCTTTGTAATCATTGAGTACTAAAAATAAGAAGATTGTGTATTACAATAGTACATAGAGGCTTTGGAATATCTTAGGGAATAGAAATGGCTTTAGTATAGTTTTTCAGGGAGAAACTAATGTACCCTAAGTCTATCATGCTTCTTAAAAGAAGTCAGAGGACCATGTCCTAGTTTTACCGTCTGTGACTGAACATAAATATAAGGGAATATATCTTTGCAGAGGCAAAACCATGTACTTTAAGTAAAAGTAAAAAAGAAATCAGAAAGATATAGGGGGAAATAATTGTGCCAGGAACTAAGGATGCACAAATACTGTAATTGAACATTAAATTTGGCACTGAGATTTCTAGCAACCTTGACAAAAAGAGAAAAGGTAGGTGATAAAAGAAGCCTGTTTTCCATGGAAAACAATCAACTTTTTCTGGCTCTAGTTTCTAGGAAATAGTCATTTGGTTTTTTTACTTTTTTTCTCACATACGTTCCAAAGTATATAGTTCATAGAGTTTTAGTTTTATGCAAATCAAATATTTACTTGGTTGGCTCATGTCGGCTTCTGCATTTGTGCTCTTGTTTCAGGGAACTCTGCACTAAACTTTACAGCATGAGCTGGGGCAATACACAGAGTTGGCAAGAGTTTGATCGCTTTTGTGAATATAATCCAGTGGAAGTGTCCATGTTGACCTGTTTAGCGGATGTCCGGGAACCTTGCCAGTTGGGCTGTAGAAACCTTACTTACTGTACTAATTTTAACAACAGGTAAGACAAATTATTATACATGGAATGGAAATATTTTATCATTAATTATAAATAAGTGAAATACCACTTTATTCTGATTTTATTCCTGTTGGGTTAAAAGAAAGTCTTCTTTATGATTTAATCTTTAAATGCAGTATTCCATCTGGTAAGCCACCTCTGGGAAAGGAAACACTATTACAAAGTCCCTTCCAATCTAGAGATACCTCAAGCTTCTGGAATTCAAAGAATCTCTTCTGCCGTCAGTCCCCTCTCCCTTCTACTGTACCACCAGTGGAAGTAATTCATTGTAGAATAAATTATTGTGAACTATTTGGTCATCCAAATGTCCACTTTTAAACAGTTTACTTTAAAGGACCTTGAGACTGGTTGAGGTTTCTTCTCTGTGAGTCCCCTGTTTCATACAAAAATATTTCTTTACAAAAGCAATTCAAATAGATGTTTTCCCAGGGTATCAAGTATCATTAGAAAAATAAGGAGGCAAGAACTGAGCCTTGGAGCATATCAACAGTTAATGGTTGAAGAAACCAAAGAAAACAGAAGAGGGCACCGGAAGCACGAAATGAGAGAACTCCATACAGAAGCAAGAGAGAGAGAGTTACTAAAGAAGAGGTGGCTGATTTATAAGTTACAACCCAGAAATAAAGAGGGCAAAAGGGAAGAGAATCATTCAATTGGGCCAGAAGGAAGTTCTAGATATTTTTGTCAGATGGTGTTTACTTCAAGCTAACACACATCTTATTTTTTTTAAAGTACTCAGAGTATTACTTAAGAGTGAGAAAATTGAGATATCTTTAAAACTGGTGATAGAGTATTAGCCAGTAAAGACCTGATTTAGAGATTGAGTACATCTGAAATGTTTGAAAGTTAGACTTTGGCACATAGTTCTGGTCTGGCTTCTGGTAATTGTGGAGTAGCTTGTATGAGAATAACAGTCCTACCAATACCAATTATGAACTCCGCACAAAATATAAAAGAACAATTGTTTTGAAGGTATTGGAGACTGATCAAAAGCAGGAGGGTCTACATCTTTTTTTTTTATTATTTTTGAGACAGAATCTCACTCTGTCACCCAGGCTGGAGTATAGTGGCATGATCTCGGCTCACTGCAACCTCCGCCTCCTGGATTCAAGCAATTAATTCTCCTGCCTCAGCCTCCCAAGTAGCTGGGATTACAGGCGCCTGCCACCACACCCAGCTAATTTTTTTTTTTTTTTTTTTTTGTATTTTTAGTAGAGACGGGGCTTCACCATCTTGGCCAGGCTGGTTTCGAACCCCTGATCTCAAGTGATCTGCCTGCCTCAGCCTCCCAAAGTGCTAGGATTACAGGCGTGAGCCACCACGAGTGGCCAACGTCTCTTGAAAGATAGAAACCACACTGAGCGAAAGCCACATTTGTGCACTTCTTCCTCATAGGCACTTTCAGTTTCTTTTCATGGGGAGTAGAGTTCAAGCAGAAAGCAGCAGTCTTGGCCTAAGGAGTGAGACATCAGAGTTTGGTCCTGCCAGAGAAGCTAGATATTGAAGGAAAAAAAAAATCCCACAAGGGAGGGAACCACAAAAAGAAATGTCCCAAAATCCATAAACAGACTCCTTTTAAGTCCTTGGCTGACTCCTAAATTGTACTTTTGCAGGATGAGACTACAAGGAACCCAGGGGAAGGTGAACATAGACTATAGCAGTTAGCATTTGCTGGGCAGACGATTTAGAATTCAGATTATGCCAAGTTAGAAGGGCCTAGTAAACCCCATAAGGGCCAAACCTTGGGAGTACATACGACATCCAAGAGCTAAGAGTAAAGCTGAAAAACCTTAACAAAACCTGAAACTGCCTCCAGAGGAAGGAGGTATTTGTCAGTAATTTAACTGCCTGCTGGTGTGAAAACAACATTCCTCCAAAGAAGGTAACAAAATCCTAAATCCCACAAAGTATCATGCATAATGTCCATTATACAATCAAAAATTACTAGAAATGAGAAAAATAGGAAATATGACCCATAGTTAAGAGAAAAAACAATCATACCCATTGGTGACCCAACTATTGGAATTAGCAGATAAAGAATCTAATTATGATAAATATATTGAAAGATCTACAGGTAAAGATAGATATAGGTGAGATATGGAAGCTCTAAAAAAAACCACATGGAAACTCTAAAACTGAGAAATGCAATATCTAAAATAAATTTATTGTAGGGAATGGAAAATAGACACAGCAGAAGAAAAAGGTCAGTGACCTCGGAGATTGCTCAATAGAAACTATCTAAACCAAAGCACAGAGAATAAGTGATACAACATCTGTGGTAGTAACCCAGAAGGAAAGGAAAGAAAGGAGCAGAAAAATATTTGATTAAACCTTGGCTGAAATTTTTCCAAATGTGATCAAATACATTAACCCATTTTTTGGGAAACCTTAGTAAACGCTAAGTCAGATAAATACAAAGAGAGACACACCTAGCACATTATAGTCAAACTGTTGAAAACCAGAGGCAAAGAGAAATAGTTAAAACAACCAAAGGGAGAAAAAAAGACACTTTACATATGATGGAATAACAATAAAAATGACAAGTGACTTCCTTTCAGAAACAATGGAGAACCAAAGACCATCAAGTAGTATCCCAAGTAGTATCCTTAAAGTACTCAGAGAAAAAAAAATCTTATATTCAATGAAAATATTCTTCAAAAATAAAGGTATTTCTAGATATTACAAAAAAAAACAACCTCAGAATTTTCTGCCAGCAATCTCTCACTACAAGAAATTCTTCAGTCTGAAGGAAAATGCCACATGAAAACTCAGACCTATAGAGCACTGGGATTGGTAAATGTTGGTAAACATGAAAAATATTTTTTCTTTATTTTCTTTTTCTTTTTTTTCTTTTGTATTTTATTTTTCAAAAGTAATTGGTTAAAGCAAAAATAATAACAATGTATTGTGGAATTTATACATAGAAGTAAAATATATGATATATGACAGTAGCAAAAAGGATAAGAGAGAGGTAAATAATTATACCGTTATAAGTTTCTTACATTATTTGTGACATTGTATAGTATTAATTCAAGGAAAACTATAATAAATAATGGACATATATTATGCCTAGAGCAACCACTAATTTAAAACACAACACAAAGAGGTATAGCTAAGAAGCTAATAGGAAATATAAAATGGAAAACTAAAATAATACTTGATCCATCCAAAAGAAGACAGAAAGAAAAAGGAGACAAATTGAAAACCACAGCAAAATGATAGAGACTTAAACCCAACTGTATCAATAATTACATAAACGTAAATGAACTAAAAACATCGATTGAAAGGCAGAGGTTGTTAGAAAGACAAAGACTATTATTGGAGATAAAGAGTATCACCTTATAATGATCAAAGTTCAATTTATCATGAAGATACAATTAACCTAGATATATATGCACCTAATGTCAGATAGATGCATATACTCAAAATACTTAAAAACAGAAGTAAACCCTAAAGAGAGAGAAATATTCAATCATATTCAGAAATGTTAACACCTCTCCCTCACTAATAGAACAAATGGAAAAAAATCAGTGAGGATATAGAGGATTTGAACAACATATGCTGGGTTAAAAAGCAAGTCTCAACCGCTGTCAGAAGATGAAAATCATAAAAAGTATATTTTCTGAACACAACAGAATCAAATTGGAAATCAATAAAAATAAACTATATTGAAATATTCCCAAATATTTGGTAATTAAACAAACGCTTCTAAATAATTTATGCAACAAAGAAGAAATCACAAAGGAAATGCTTGAACCTGGGAGGCAGAGGTTGCAGTAAGCCAAGATTGCACCACCACACTTCAGCCTGGGCAACAGAGCAAGACTCTCTCAAAAAATAAATGGAATACTATGAACAACTTTATGCCAGTAAATCCTGCAATTTAGATGAAATGGATGCATTCCTTAAAAACCAAAACTAACACAAGAAGAAGTACAAGTTAGGATTATTCTTATAACTATTAGAGAAATTGAATTTGTAATTATAAATCTTCACACAAGGAAAACTTCTGGCTTTACTGGTAATGCTTACCAAACACATAAGGAAAAAATTATGCAATTATTACACAGAATTTTTCAGGAAGCAGATAACATATCCCAACTCCTCTTATGAGGCTAGCATTACCTTGATACCAAAACCGACATGGACATTAAAAACAAGGTAACTATTGTCCTGTGTCACTCAGAGATGCCAAAATCCTCAATAAAAGATTAGGAAATTCAATTCAAGTATAGGAAACTGATTTTCAACAAGAGCAGCAAGGCAATTCAATACAAAAATAAACATCTTTTCAGCCAGGCATGGTGGTTCACCCCTATAATCCCAGCAGTTTGGGAGGCTGAGGCAGTTGGAATGCCTGAGCTCAGGAGTTTGAGACCAGCCTGGGCAACATGGTGAAACACCATCAATCAAAAATACAAAATATTGGCCAGGCACGGTGGCTCACGCCTGTAATCCTAGCACTTTGGGAGGCTGAGGTGGGTGGATCACCTGAGGTCAGGAGTTCGAGACCAGCCTGGCCAACATGGTGAAACCCCGTCTTTACTAAAAATACAAAAAAAAAATTAGCCAGGCATGGTGGCGGGCACCTGTAAACTTGGGAGGCTGAGGCAGGAGAATCTCTTGAACCTGGGAGGCGGAGGTTGCAGCGAGCTGAGATCACATCATTGCACTCCAGCCTGGGCAACAAGAATGAAACTCCATCTCAAAAAAAAAAAAAAAAAAATTTGCTGGGTGTAGTGGTGTGCATCTGTAGTCCCGGCTGCTCAGGAGGCTGAGGTGGGAGGATGGCTTGAGCCTGGGAGGTGGAGGTTGCAGTGAGCCAAGATCATGCCATTGCACTCCAACCTGGGTGACAGAGTGAGACCCTATCTCAAAAAAAAAATTTTAAAAGGCTGGGCATGGTGGCTCACGCCTGTAATCCTAGCACTTTGGGAGGCCGAGGTGGGTGGATTACCTGACGTCAAGAGTTCAAGACCAGCCTGGCCAACATGGTGAAACCTCGTCTCTACTAAAAATACAAAAACTAGCCGGACATGGTGTCGGGCACCTGTAATCCCAGCTACTCAGGAGGCTGAGGCAGGAGAATCGCTTGAACCCGGGAGGTGGAGGTTGCAGTGAGCTGAGATTGTGCCACTGCACTCCAGCCTGGGCAACACAGCAAAAACTCTGTCTCAAAAAAAGAAAAAATAAAATAAAATAAAATAAATAGAAACATCTTTTCAACAAATAATACTAGAATAATTGAATATCTTTATGGAGGGGGAAAAAATGAACCTCAACCTGTGTTTCACACCCTACACAAAAAACTGCTTCCAGATGGATCATAGAACTAAACATAAAAACTAAAAATTTAAAGCTAATAGGAGAACATCTTCACAAACTTTGTGTGGGCAAAGATTTTGTAGACAGGACACAAAATATACAATTTTAAAAGAAAAAAATGAATTAGACTTCAACCGTAAAATCTTTTGTTTGCCAAAAGACATCATTTAAAACTTGAAGGGTCAAGTCATAGACTTGAGAGGGAATGTTCAACATATCATGCACAGGTGTGTGCATACACACACACACACACACACATATTTGTCAAAGAGCTTGTGTATCCAGACTACATAAATAACTCCTACAACATCATGATAAAAAGTAAAACAACTCAATTTTAAAATTATGCAAAAAAGGCCAGGTGTGGTGGCTCACACCTGTAATCTCAACACTTTGGGAGGCCGAGGCAGGTGGATCACTTGAGGTCAAGAGTTCAAGGCCAGCCTGGCCAACATGGTGAAACCCCGTCTCTACTAAAAATATTTTTAAAAATTAGCTGGGCGTGGTGGCAGGCACCTGTAGTCTCAGCTACTTGGGAGGCTGAGACAGGAGAATGGCTTGAACCTAGGAGGTGAAAGTTGCAGTGAGCTGAGATCGCGCCACTGCACTCCAGCCTGGGCGACAGACCAAGACTCCATCTCAAAAAAAAAAAAAAAAAGAAAAAAATTGTGCAAGAAACTTTCAAAGACCCTTTACCGAAGAAGGACATCACAATGGCCATTTAATCAAGTATATGAAAAAATGTTCAACATCACTAATTATCAGTGAAATACAAATTAAAACCACAATGAACTATCCCTTCACGTGTTAAAATGGCTATTATCAAAAAGATGGAAGATAACAATTGTTAGCAAGGATGTGGAGAAAAGGGAAGTCTTGTACACTGTTGATGGAAATGTGAGTTAGTACAGCCATTATGGGAAACAGTATGGGGGGTCCTCAAAAAATTAAAGATAGAAGGTACCATATGATCCAGCAATTCCACTACTAGGTACATATCTAAAGGAAAGGAAATCAGCGTGTTGAAGAGATATTTCACTCCCACATTCACTGCAGCATTATTTACAATAGCCAAGATGTAGAATCAACCTGTATTCATCAATGAATGAATGAATGGATAAAGAATATGTGGTATATATACACTGTGGAATCCTATTCAGCCTTTATAAAGAAGGAAATCCTGTCGTTTGCAACAATATGAATGAACCTGGAGGACACTAAATAAAATAAGCCAGGCACAGAAAGACAAATACTGCACAATCTCACTTATATGTGGAATCTAAAAAAATCAAACTCATGGAAGCAGAGAATAGAATAGTGGTTACCAGAGGGTGGCTGGAAAAGGTGGTGCAGGAGGAGGAGAGAGAAGAGGGAGGAGAGAGGGGAGAGGATTGGGAAAATGTTGGTCAAAGGACACAAAATTTTATTTAGACAAAAGGAGTAAGTTCAAGAGATCTGTTATACAATGTGGTAACTATAGTTAACAGTGAGTTGTATACTTGAAAGTTGCCAAGAGAGTAGATGTTAAATGTTCTTACCACAAAAAAATTATAAGTATGTGAGGTAATGCATATTTTAATTAGCTTAATTTAGCCATTCCACATGTGTCATGTTTAAATATATTACGTTGCACACAATAAATATATAATTTTTGTCCATTTAAAAAATTTAAAAGAAATAGCCATCTAGTTCATTAAAGGCTTCATTATTATCAGTCATGGCAAAATACAAATTAAAATAGCAATTCAGTGCCTCCTCACCCTCACAAGAATGCCTGAAATTAAAAGACTGGTAAGCATATGAAGCAAGTGGAATTCTTGTAGTATGTTACTACTGGGAGTAGAAGATAGTTTGAGGATTTGGAGCTTTTTTTCAGTTTCTTCAAAAGTTAAATCTATGACCTAACAATTTTATCCTGAAGCATTTACCCAAGAGACATGAAAACATATGTCCAAATAAAGACCTGTCTAGTACCCTTATTCGTAATAGCCCAAAAAATGGGGGAGAGGAACCAAAACATCTATCAGGAGAATGAAAGAATATAACATTGTGGTGCATCCAAACAATGGGATAGCAATGGATGAATCTTACATTGAGAAAAAAAGCCCAACACAAAATACATTCTTGACACATGAGATCCAAGAATAGGCAAATGTAATCTATGGTGATAAAGATCAGAATATCCTTTCCTCTGCTGGAATCAGGGATTGACTAGAGGGGGCACAAGGGTACTTTATAGGGTGATGAAAATGTTCTAGCCCAGGCATGATGGCTCACACCTATAATCCCAACACTTTGAGAGGCCAAGGTGAGCAGATCGCTTGGGCCCAGGAGTTTGAGACCAGCCTGGGCAACATGGCAAAACCTTGTCTCTAAAGAAAATACAAAAATTAACCAGGTGTGGTGGTGGGTGCCTGTAGTCCCAGCTACTTGGGAGGCTGAGGTGGGAGGATCACCTGAGCCCACAAGGTCGAGGCTGCAGTGAGCTGTGATCATGCCACTGCACTCCAGCCTGGGTGACAGAGTGAGAACCTGTCTCAACAACAACAACAACAACAACAACAACAACAACAACAACAACAACAGTGGAGCTTTCCAGTGGCTATAAAACATGTGATACAACAACAGATTGAATGCAGAAGCAGATATGAAAATCCACCTGAGTTCTATTAAGCCAGACATTACAGAGATTTGCAAAACTGTAAAACAGTCCTATCCTTCTCGCTAATGTTTACTTTGGAAAATAGTTATTTTTCATAAAAATACTTATATTAACATGTAGTGGGTTTATTATAATTTTAAATAACTTGATAACTACTTTAAATTTTGCTTAAATTTTTTTCAACATGGGGTATTCCTTTATTGCCCAGGCTGGCCTCGAACTCCTGGGCTTAAGCAATCCTCCTGCCACACCTCCTGAGTAGCTGGAACTAGAGGCGTGCCACAATTTTTTTGTTTGTTTGTTTTTGTTTTTTTTTAGTAGAGATGAAATCTTGCTATGTTGCCCAGACTGGTCTCAAACTCCTGAGCTCAAGCTATCTTCCTGCCTTGGCCTCCCAAAGTGCTAGGATTGCAGGTGTGAGCCACTGCACCCAGCCTAGAACAGGCGAAATTAATCTATGGTGATATAAGTATAAATAGTTATGGCCTCTGAGTTGCAGTCAGTAGGGAGGCATTAACTCAACAGTGGCACAAGGGAACTGGCTGAAATGTTGGATGGGTTCCTTAATTGATTTAGATGTGCTTATGGATGTACATATTTGTCAAAGCACACCAAGCTGTACCCATAAAATTGGTGCATTTTGCTTTTGTAAATTATGTTGCCATTTTAAAAAGTTGGCCTCATAATATTTATTTTATGAAATGAAATGGGATAGTCTGGGGATAATAGTCCTGTTTGGAGAATTGTGAAGTTTTAAACTGCCCCACAAGAATCTGTTAAAAAGAAAACATGCAATCAGAGTTTAATGCTAGTGTCTACACTGAATCTTCATACAATCGAAGCTGATATCCTTTCATGGGTTGTATGTGCTTTCTTAAGAAAACCAGATTTTTCTGATGCATTAGTATGTCAGGATTTTACTTGTTGCTTCTCTCTAGAAAATAATTGCCTCTTGATTCTTTCTGGCCTTTTTTCTCTTTAGGCCAACAGAACTTTTCAGGAGTTGTAATGCACAGTCAGATCAAGGAGCCATGAATGACATGAAGTTGTGGGAGAAAGGAAGCATAAAGATGCCATTTATCAATATACCTGTTCTTGATATTAAAAAGTGCCAGCCAGAGATGTGGAAAGCAATAGCTTGTTCACTGCAGATTAAACCTTGTCATAGTAAATCTCGGGGAAGTATTATTTGCAAGTAAGTTTCTTTCATCCTAACGATTCTCCAGCTTTAGTTCAGACCCTCCGTGATCTCTAGCCAGAGCCTCTCCATAGAATTTTCTCTCTTACCACTTCCTTTGCCTATCACCCCCGTATGTCAAATGCTTTCCCACTTTTTCCTCCTCTAGTTGAAATACTGCTCCCCTCATCACCACCTACTGGCTGTCCTTGTCTCCTCTGAAATACCAGACATTCCTGTAGTCTTCCCAGATTTCTCCAGCTGAAAGTAATTTATCCTTACTACAGATTCCTATAGACCTTTATTTGTACTTCTCTTATGGAACTTAGTTCATGAAACATTTATTAAATACCTCTGATGCACAATTCTATTTTTATATGTTAATTTATGGACTTGTCTTATATTCTGTTAGACTTTGCTCTTCTTCTTCTTTTTTTGTTTTGTTTTGTGTTTTTTTTTTGAGATGGAGTCTCACTCTGTCGCCAGGCTGGAGTGCAGTGGCATGACCTCAGCTCACTGCAACCTCCACCTCCCAGGTTCAAGCAATTCTCCTGCCTCAGCCTCCCGAGTAGCTGGGACTACACGCCCAGCTAATGTTTGTATTCTTAGTAGAGATGGGGTTTTACCATGTTGGCCAGGATGGCCTCAATCTCTTGACCTGGTGATCCACCCGCCTCGGCCTCCCTAAGTGCTGGGATTACAGGCCTGAGCCACTGCGCCCAGCCGACTTTGCTCTTCTTAAGGAGCTTATTTTGCTTAGGAAATCAAGGATCAAGTAAAGATAGGAGCTGCTATAGTGGGTGAAACCAAAAGCATTTAACACATAGTAATCTGCCCATTGTTCTTCACATATCTTTTTTTCCAAAAGTTTTCCAAAACCAAGTTAATATCCAGCCCCTAAGCTGTTGGTATGTGGCTCAGTGCTGCTGGATACCTTAATAATTTCAACCTTAAACAGAGTCCAGTCTATTCTCTGACATGGCTTCGGGATAACCTGATGGGGAAATACTGAGGTATAACAATTAGGTGACAAGCAAGAGGCAACAAGAGGGGAATATGTAGACTCTTAGCACAGAAAACTTGTAGGAGTCAAATCCCTATTGAAGACCAAGAACATTTTAAAGTAGTGGACTTTCTAGTTGTTATAGGCCAGATGCTAATGTTGATAACTAAAAAGAGACTTAGATAAGGAAGGGAAGGCAAAAGAGGCAAGCAAGCAAACAAGCCAGCATAAGGTCCTAGAAGTGAGGATATATGATTTTTGCAGAGAGTAAATCAGACTAGCTTCATTTAATTTCCTTTCAAAGATACTGAAAAGCCACATTGCTGGTAGTAACAGTACGAAGAAGTGTACAATTTGAGTAAGGGCTTTGGTCTCAGACAACAGAAAGTTAGGGGTGCTTTCAATTTATTATTCAACCTGAGCTCTCCTGTGACTCTTGTTCTCTTTTGAAACATGTTAAGTTATGAAAGCTTACTTTCTGGAAAGCTTCAGAAACAAGTGATGTTGACTGGACAACATGAGGAGGTTCCTCAAGCTCTAAACTTACGTGCATTTTTTTTTCAAGATCAGATTGTGTGGAGATTCTTAAAAAATGTGGAGACCAGAACAAATTCCCTGAAGACCACACAGCTGAAAGTATTTGTGAGCTTCTGTCACCTACAGATGATCTGAAGAATTGTATACCTTTGGATACATACCTCAGTAAGTACTTTTTTGTATGTGTGTTTTTAGATTTCAAATACTTCTCTCTTCCAACTATTTGTTTTACTATTTGTTTTGGATGAGCATTTATCTGTTGAGAACATGGGATTCAATGATACCATCTCAATCACAGACTCTTGTTTGCTTGGCCTTTTTGGCCCAGGAAAGAATTGTTGTTTTAAAATATGTAAGCAGAAGTGATTCTATCAGTCTGAGGAGGTACCAACTGTGGTCAGTCAGGAATTCTAAGCAGTGACTCAGGGGGCCAGCATTCTCAGATAACCAGCTCCATATCATTGCTGTCTTCTTACCATAATAATGACTAGAAAGTGGAATTTACCCCCAGAGACTATCAGCCTTTTGTCATCAGAGTGTCAGTGGATGAGAGCCAGGAATTGGCTTGGACTTACTCACCCAACAGGGTATAAAAAAATGATAGTCTAGGCCAGGCGTGGTGACTCAAGCCTGTAATCCCAGCACTCTGAGAAGCTGAGGCAGGCGGATCACGAGGTCAGGGGATCGAGACCATCCTGGCTGACATGGTGAGACCCCGTCTCTACTAAAAATACAAAAAAATCAGCCAGGCGTGGTGGCGGGCGCCTGTAGTCCCAGCTACTCCGGAGGCCGAGGCAGGAGAATGGCGTGAACCTGGGAGGCAGAGCTTGCAGTGAGCCAAGATTACACCAATGTACTCCAGGCTGGGCAACAGAGCAAGACTCTGTCTAAAAAAAAAAAAAAAAATTATAGTCTAGCTTAATATGTAAAAATGGAACTTATCTCACTGCTTCAGTTTTTCTCTGCCAAATACTCCCGCCAAAAGCTAGAAGAGCGTGTTGCTATCTCATTGAGGGATCCTGGAGCTGGAGCTCAGCTTCTTGGCAGTGAGACCCATACATGGTGGAAACCAGGGGATGACAAGTAGAACTCCTACACACCCAGTAGTTAAGGGAAGTGTTCAGGCTGCCACCAGGGGGCATCTGTGCCATGATCTGGCTACAAAGGTAGACAGTGAAGTCAGCCTTTGTTTTCCTGTGTTAGGTAGGATTAACAAAAAACAGAACAAATAGAAGTAAAGAAAGCCCAGAAACAAATAGTCTAGGGCTTCATCATCAGGAATCCAGGCTCCTTTTATCTTTCCCCACCATCCTTAGCATTTAGCTTCAGTCATCAAGATTACTTAATGTACTTTGTCATCACAACATGGCTATTGGAGTTCTAACCACCATAATCTAGTTCCAGAAGGTAAAAAGGAAGGGACAGAGCAAACAACTTCTCCCTAGTCACACTGTCCATCCCTAGTTGTAAGGAAAACTGAGAAAGGTTATTTTTTAAGCTCTGGGCCCATTGCGGCCCTAAGTAAAATTGGAGATCTTTTAGTAATCAGGGAGAGAAAAGTATGTGCTGGATTTGTAGCTGGTAGATTTGTAGCTGGTAGATTTGTAGCTGGTAGTATTCGCCATATTTTCTCAAGGCCAACAAACTGTGTCCCTTAACCTTTGTGACCAATATAGCAAAAAAGAGAGCATTAGACTGGAATTTAGACCTTTGTGTCTTTGAGCAGATCACTTCTTTGAGCCTCGGCTTCCCTATTTATGAAATAATTAGGCAAAATGAGATGAACTCCAAGGGCCCTTATACCTCTGTTAGTCTTAGAGTATGAGTCTGGCCTAAAATCAAGTAAGCAACACTTATTGTATTTATAATTCTAGATTCTATTACAGCAGGCAAATATTTGTGTAGAAGGAAACTATATCAATGGGAGGAAAATTAAATATCTCTTTAAATATCACACATGGTTTCTATCAAGTGAGACTCTTCCTTGGCCATGATTTCCGAAGTTAAATATAATCATGGTTTGGAGTCCATACATATTACCATAATAAATTCTCATTTATGATAAAACACGCTAAATTATCCTTCTTAGACATCTTATTTGACCACCCTATCCAAAATATACCTGTCATTTTTTATCCCCTGACACTACTTATTACTTACAATTTTCTGACTTAATTATTTATTTATAGATACACATATACATACATAGCATGTGTGTGTGTGTGTGTATATATATATATATATATATATATATATATATATTTTTTTTTTTTTTTTTTTTTTTTTTTTTTTTTTTTTGAGATGGAATCTTACTCTGTTGCCCAGGCTGGAGTGCAGTAGTGCAATCTCGGCTCATTGCAGCCTCTGCTTCCCAGGTTCAGGCCATTCTCCTGCCTCAGCCTCCCGAGTAGCTGGCACATGCCACCACGCCCAGCTAAATTTGAGGGGGGGCTTTTTTTTTTGAGAAAGAGTTGCACTCTGTCTCCCAAGCTGGAGTGCAGTGATGTGATCTCGGCCCACTGCAACATCTGCCTCCCGGGTTCAAGCAATTCTCCTGCCTCAGCCTCCTGAGTAGCTAGGATTACAGGCACCTGCCACCATGCCCAGCTAATTTTTATATTTTAGTAGAAACAGGGTTTCACCATGTTGGCCAGGCTGGTCTCAAACTCCTGGCCTCCGGTGATCCGCCCGCCTCAGCCTCCCAAAGTGCTGGGATTACAGGCGTAAGCCACTGTGCCCAGCTCATACATAGTGTATTTATTGTCTGTTTCTCTACTAGATGTAAACTCTATGTTAGAGACTTGTCTATTTTGTTCATCACTGTATCTCCAGCACCTAGAACCTTGCCTGGAATATTGTAGATCCCAATAAATTTAAAAAAAGAATGAATGTATGTTTATGTGAAATTCATCATTTCACAAATGAAAGAATCTCGGTGTTTTAATAGCTTGGTAGAATCAGGCCTTACTTTACACTCATGAGCTCTTCATTTATTCCAGCCATAATTAATTCAGATAATTTACAGTTTTCTCTTACTCTTTTAGGTTGGTTAAACTAATCTGTTTTGGTTTTTTCAGGGCCAAGTACTTTAGGTAACATTGTAGAAGAAGTGACTCATCCCTGTAACCCAAATCCTTGCCCTGCCAATGAGCTCTGTGAAGTAAACCGAAAAGGATGTCCATCTGGAGATCCCTGTCTTCCATACTTTTGTGTTCAAGGTAAGAGGTAGGTGGGTGTGAGAAGAGGATGGATAGGTGCTGCTAGTGTTTCTTTATAGGAGCTATCTTTCTTTTTTTCAATCCTGCTCCTTCTGTAATATAGGGGTTATCTTCGGAGTGAGATTATGAGGGACTTCATGTTCTATATTATGTTTTTCTATAATGTTTTGAGATTTTCTCATTAAACATGTATTATTGATGTAAGCAGGAAAAGACAGACACTTGTAATCCTCCATTGTTATTTAAATTGTAAACTAATAATAACAGTCTAAAACTTGACTCTCGTGAGTTGCAGGGTTCTAGACTATGAAAGAAAAGAAGCTCAGACCAGCTTTTTGTACTTTCTCTTCTATGTTGTAATGTTTGAAAAAAAATACTCTACATTGTTCATGTTTTTTCTTTCCTTTCCTTTAGTATATAGAGAAATAGCATATTCAATAGAATGTATAGCTATCTCCATAAAGATTAATGTTATGTTGAAATATATATAACTTTAAGGGTGAAGGATTTTTATCCCATAGAATTATGATAGTCTTTATCTTTCTGTCAATCCCTTTAGAATATAGTTGTTGCAACATTTTGCTTCTTTTTATCTATTTCCCAATTGAGAATGTTTCTTTATCATGTTAGAATCAAGATTTTAAAAAAGGCCAGGCGCAGTGGCTCACGCCTGTAATCGCAGCACTTTGGGAGGCCAAGGCGGGCGGATCACGAGGTCAGGAGATCGAAACCATCCTGGCTAACATGGTGAAACCTTGTCTCTACTGAAAATACAAAATATTAGCCGGGCACGGTGGGCGCCTGTAGTCCCAGCTACTCGGGAGGCTGAGGCAGGAGAATGGCGTGAACCCGGGAGGCGGAGCTTGCAGTGAGCCAAGATCGCGCCACTGCACTCCAGCCTGCCGGACAGAGCCAGACTCCGTCTCAAAAAAAAAAAAAAAAGATTAAAAAAAAACGTTTTTTTTTTTGAGACGGGGTTTCACTCTTGTTACCCAGGCTAGAGTGTAATGGCACTATCTTGGCTCACTGCAACCTCTACCTCCTGGGCTCAAGCAATTCTCCTGCCTCAGCCTCCCAAATAGCTGGGATTACAGGCACCCACCACCATGCCCAGCTAATTTTTGCATTTTTAGTAGAGACAGCAGGGTTTCACCATGTTGTCCAGGCTGGTTTTGAACTCCTGACCTCAGGTGATCTACCTACCTCAGCCTCTCAGAGTGCTGGGATTACAGGTGTGAGCCACTGCGCCCGGCCTTAAAATATTTTTAAAGTAAAATAAAGCAAAAGATGAAATAAGCATGATGTCTCAAAGGATCATCTATAATATATGTGTAATACTGTAATATATCGGCTATAGAGTCATAATCTTGTCAAAATTGGAAATGTCGGACTGTTTTAAATTTCAAGATAGTATTTTCTGTCCATTTACCCTTACATTATAAGTTGGTCAGTATTTTCTTTGGCAAGAAAATAAGATATAGTTACTTAAAATGGTGACATCTGTATTTCATATTATTTAAATATATAATTCAATTCAGGGGCCGGGCGCAGTGGCTCACACCTGTAATCCCAGCACTTTGGGAGGCTGAGACAGGCAGATCACGAGGTCAGGAGATCAAGACCATCCTGACTAACGCGGTGAAACTCCATCTCTACTAATAATACAAAAAAAATTAGCCGGGCATGGTGGTGGGCACCTGTAGTCCCAGATACTCAGGAGACTGAGGCAGGAGAATGGCGTGAACCTGGGAGGTGGAGCTTGCAGTGAGCCGAGATCGTGCCACTGCACTCCAGCCTGGGCGACAGAGCGAGACTCCGTCTCAAAAAAAAAAAAAAAAAAAAAGGAATTCAATTCAGAATCCTCTTGTTTCATTAAACTCAGAAAACCCATCATATAATAAGATAGAAAATGGAAAATGGGTTTTCCATAAGCCCACCCAAATATTCAGTTTTTCCTTGAATTTAAGGTATACTTGTTTTCCATCACTAAAAGTTTTTCTGAACAATATTATTCTAAAAATACTGGCCAGGCGCGGTAGCTCACGCCTGTAATCCCAGCACTTTGGGAGGCTGAGGTAAGTGGATCACGAGGTCAGGAGTTTGAGACCAGCCTGGCCAATATGGTGTAACCCCATCTCTACTAAAAATACAAAAATTAGCCGGGTACAAAAATTAGCTGGGTGTGGTGGCACACGCCTGTAGTCCCAGCTACTTGGAAGGCTGAGGCAGAAGAATCACTTGAACCCGAGAGGCAGAAGTTGCACTGAGCCAAGATCGTGCCACTACACTCCAGCCTGGGCAACAGAGCAAGACTCCGTCTCAAAAAAAAAAAAAAAAAAATACTGTTAGTTTCCCTATTCTATTTTTTAAAATATCTGTGATTTTAAAATATTTTTTACTAGCCCCTACAAATAAAAAGTTACATATCTTACAGCACTGTTATACTGAATGATAGGTCACTTTGGGGTACAGATCTGTAATCACCACCATCCTCCAGAATGTGGAATTTTAATTTGAGAGGTATGTTTTTGGCCAATGAACCAAAGCAATTCCTTAATTTGGTGAAAGTTCTATTACATAATCTTTAATAGTGATTTAGTACCTATAAGACTTTTATCAAGTGTATATCTAATGTTATAAAACAATGTCATAGAACAGTACCATCTCTCTCAGCTAATTTTTGCTTGTACAGGTTGCAAACTGGGAGAAGCTTCTGATTTCATTGTCCGTCAAGGGACACTAATCCAGGTGCCATCATCTGCAGGGGAAGTTGGTTGTTATAAAATCTGTTCATGTGGACAAAGTGGACTCTTAGAAAACTGTATGGAAATGCACTGTATAGACCTCCAGAAGTCTTGTATTGTTGGAGGAAAAAGAAAAAGTGAGTCTTAAGCTCTGATTTTGTTTTTAATATGAGATTAGTTATTTTTACTTTGTAGGAAGAATACTGGATAGATTCTGACCACAGAGTAAGGTCTGCATATCAGATACTCCAGGGCAGTATTTTTCAAACTATACAGAGCACTAGGACTTCTAAGGAAGTCTTTAGAAGTCCCCTCAATAAGGGGCTAATGGCTAATAATAATTAATATTTATTGAATTCTAATCATGTGCTAAACACAAAGCTAAGTCTTGCCTTACATTATCTCATTAAATCCTCCAAGTTACACTTTGATATAGGTAATAATAATACCTGTATTACCCTTACTGCATAGATGAGGAAGCTGATGCTTAAAGAGTTCACCCAGCTAGTAAATGACCAAAGCTGGATTCTGCTCCAGGTCTAGTTGACTCCAAATCCCTTACGCTTCACAGGCCAAGGACACAGGTAATCTTCCCCCGACCCTTTCTTCAGGCATACCCCACCCCACCCTCACTTCACCAGAAGTGAAACTCAGATTTTGACATCATGGAAAGCAAGTGGGTGTAGGAACTACACTGTTAGGAGTTTGGAAAAAAAGTACATTAAAAAGTACTTTGACCACCTTCCCTAAAAATCTTAGACTCCACTGCTTCCTTAACCATCTTTTGCTTGTAGCCCCAACAACTATTCATGTCAATATATGATTTCAAACAATTGTGAAAAAACACCACTTTTTAGGATCTGTTCCCTCCCCACAAGCTCACTCTGCTACCCCATTTCTACTCCCATCCCCTACCCCTTCAACCATAGTAGTTCAGCTTTTATATGCTTTTTGGTTTACTCTTCTGTGTGAGATTTGATTAGAAAGAAGAGTGCTCTTGGCTAAAATTAGCTCTCAAATTTCTGCCTTAGAGCAAGTCAGGTATTTATCTCTCAATCCATATTCTGCTTGACTAAACTATGAAGGTAGGTACTTTGTATCACAGAAAATATCAGGACAGATTCATTCCTTCTGTAACATTTCACTGACTAAATGCCTATTCTGTACAAAAGAGCATACTAGTGCCTTATGGAGCTGAAACCGGGACGGGGGATGAGATCATGCTTTATGTGTTAAGATAAGAGAATTTGAGCCAAAAAAAGTTGCAGACCAAGTGCTCTTCTGGGAGCTGGGCATTCCTGCCAGGGCATCAGAAGAGTCTTTGATCCAAAGATGGCATCAGGTCTGGCCCTGGACAGATGAGCTTTCAAAGCAGAAGGGGCAGCCAGAAACATTCTTAGAGGATAGGGAGCACCCTGGTAAGACCAGCACTTCAGGGGCTTGGAGGAATACGATAGGAGGCAAATATG
The DNA here is from genome assembly GCF_000001405.40 of Homo sapiens. Taxonomy (NCBI): domain Eukaryota; kingdom Metazoa; phylum Chordata; class Mammalia; order Primates; family Hominidae; genus Homo; species Homo sapiens. The sequence goes on from NC_000009.12 coordinate 36,109,497, forward strand.
AAAATATAAATCCCACAGATTTTACTCTAGTTGGTATATTCAGAAGTCATCTTTCAAGAATTTCTGGCTGGGCACAGTGGCTCATGCTTGTTATCCCAGAACTTTGGTAGGCCGAGGCAGGCAGATGGCATGAGCCTAGGCATTCAAGACCAGCCTGGACAACATGGTGAAACCCTGTCTCTACAAAAAATACAAAAAATATCCAGATGTGGTGGTGTACACCTATAGTCCCAGTTACTTGGGAAGCTGAGGTGGGAGGATCACCTGAGCCCGGGAAGCGGAGGTTGCAGTGAGCTGGGATCACGCCAGTGCACTCCAGCCTGGGCGATAGAATGAGACCCTTCTCAAAAAAAAAAAAAGGAATTTCCATTTTAAAACTTGTTGAACTATTAAAATTGTAATACGTGCTCTATTTCTCAATGCATGATATAGATCAACATTTTCTTTCTGTTTCTGTCAGGTCATGGAACATCCTTTAGTATTGACTGCAATGTCTGTTCTTGTTTTGCTGGCAATTTGGTGTGCTCTACCCGCCTTTGCCTCAGTGAGCACAGTTCAGAAGATGACCGTCGTACCTTCACAGGTGACTGTGATCGCCCAGAGTCTGTCCTCAGGGGCCATCATTTCTTTGCACACATTTTTCCCTTCAAGGCAGCTTCTCCAGTCTTAACTGCAAATGTACACAATAAAATCAATACAGAATCTAAGGGCAAGATGCTTTTCCTCCCTGGATCTCAGTTTCTTCCTCTATGAATTGAAGGTATTATACTAAATGGTGTCTTAGGGCCCTTAGCACTAATATTCTGGAATTTCATGAGTCAAAAAGAACAGAGCCAGTGATTGGAATGGGTTTAATTAAATTGAACTTTTCTACCTGGTAGAATACCCCATTTACCCCTACTGCTATGATCTAAAATGTCCATGCATGTTCTCAGTTTGTTTCTCAGCACCTTCTTCCTCAGCCTACCTTAGCTTACTTCTTCATCTAGACTCCCACAAACAATAATATCCCAGAATATTACTTTCTTGACTTTCCTATGCTTTGCTGCTCTTATTATTCTTACACCAACATAAATAAGTGAAAAGGCTAGTGAGATGGGATGCTTTCCTCTCGTGAAGCTATTATTGCCAATAGCAACAGCACAGTCTGCTGGTATATCTTGGTATCTGCTTTTTCCTAGATCTAAAATACCTTTGGTTGTGGGTAAAAAGTTACTAGGTAGCTGCCCTTGCCCCCATTTCACACTGCTGCAGTGGCAACTTGATTCTTCTTTCCCCAGAATTAGTATTACATGTGGAGAGGGGTGGGGGCCGGGTGGAGGAGAAGTGGAGGAGAGGAGAGTAAGGATTTACCAACCTTGTACCTCCAGCCCATTGGAAATAAAAAGGGGATCAGAAATAAGAAGTGAATGGCACACTGGTAAGGAAGTAGAGGTAGGACGAACACTACCCCAGCCTTCACTGCTTTATTATCATCATCCTTTATTATTATCCTTTGCCCTGCTCAAGCAAGGACTATTCATTCTGCTTAGAGAAACCATAGAGGGATATGGGGATAAAGAATAAGCAAAGGATTTACAAGGAAGACTTTTTAAAATTTTTTTGTTAATGTCTAAATGTTTTTAGAAGTTGAGCTTTACAACTAGCAAGACCCCTGTTTCCTATAGTGTGTGGCCCCTGGTGTCCTGGGATAAATTAAGTCAATGACTGTTGATCTAGCAGACTAAGGAAATTTTACTGACCCAAAACTGTGCCACATTTCTTGGGACCCAGTGTCCCACTCCAAATGTGACTCAGAGAAAGAAGTTCATAACAATTTGTAAGTCTCAAAATTACAGTAATTTTCTAAGTTACTGTCTTAGACATGAGAGTGGAAGGAACCTACAACCTTCACTCTTTCTTTTTGTTTTTTCTGAGAAGGAGCTTTGCTTTTGTTGCCCAGGCTGGAGTGCAATGGCGTGATCTCGGCTCACCACAAACTCCGCCTCCTGGGATCAAGCAATTCTCCTGCCTCAGCCTCCCAAGTAGCTAGGAACGACAGGCATGCGCCACCATGCCATTCTAATTTTGTATTTTTAGTAGAGATGGGGTTTCTCCATGTTGGTCAGGCTGGTCTCGAACTCCCGACCTCAGGTGATCCGCCCACCTCAGCCTCTCAAAGTGCTGGGATTACAGGCGTGAGCCACTGTGCCCAGCCCACTCTTTCTTATGCTTGGTATTAGCCTTTAACATTCAAGAAATCCCCACACCAGACTTCAAACATCTAAATTCTAGATTTTATATGCCAAATCAGGAGAAACAGTCTTTACTTTCCCTACCTATAGCCTTGTTAATAGGGGTCTCTACCTGGGATCAAAGTCTAGGGGGCCCTCAACTAGTTGGCAATAAAAAGGACAAAGGAAAGCCATCTTGCAGATGAGCTATTCAGAGCATTGCTGCCTTTAAAAACCCTGTCAGAATACAAAAAAAAAAAAAAATTAGCTGGGCGTGGTGGCATGCGCCTGTAGTCCCAGCTACTCCGGAGGCTGAGGCAGGAGAATGGCGTGAACCTGGGAGGCAGAGCTTGCAGTGAGCCAAGATTGCGCCACTGCACTCCAGCCTGGGCGACACAGCGAGACTCCATCTCAAAAAAAAAAAAAAAAAAAAAACCCTGTCAGAGATCGGAGAGAAGGTTTTTCCTGACTTAATTTACAATTCTATTTTAACGTGAGACCTTCACATGATTGCTCATGGTTTGCCTTAACAAGGAAATATAAGGGGAGGGGGAATATACACATACATATTTTTGAGGCTGTTTCCTCTCCTCAGGTCTGCCCTGTAACTGTGCAGATCAGTTTGTCCCTGTATGTGGGCAGAATGGGCGCACTTACCCCAGTGCCTGCATTGCTCGCTGTGTGGGCCTCCAAGACCATCAGTTTGAGTTTGGATCATGCATGTCAAAGGATCCATGTAATCCTAATCCCTGCCAAAAAAACCAAAGGTAAGTCAAATGGCTTCTTATTTTATTCAACTGAAGACTAGTACTTACAAAGCATCTACCATATACCAGACAGTGAAAACAGAAAGGTAAATTAAGAAATCGCTGCTGCCCTGAAGAGTTTGGAGTCTGGAGGGAAAGAGAGCCATGTAAAGCTGCTTGATAAGGTGCTGCGATTGGGAGCCCAGAAGTAGGGCAGTTAATGCAGCCTGGGGAAGGCCCTGGGGGAGCCTCTAGAGATTGTGATACCTAGCTGAATCTAGAAAGATGAGTAAGAGATTGCAGGCAAGGTTTGCAGTAGAGAAAAAGAAGTGGTAGTGAAGGCAGACTAACAAGAGTCATGGCTGCTGGAAATGTTATCTCCGTAACATTGTTATCTCCATAACATGGTGTCTGTTGGGCACTAAAGCAGTTCTGTAAGACTGAAACAGAAAAGGTAACATAAGGAGAGGTAGCAGAAGAGACAAGAGAAAAGGGTGTATTCTTATTAGTAGCTGTCACCTGATAGTCAGGGGAAATTTTCTTCTAGTTATATGCAACTGTTTTAGAAATTGGACATGAGAAATCTCTGGAAATGCAACTTCACTACTATTTGAAATTACTTGTTTTGAGCTCCTTTCTCTGCTGTTTCCTCACTTGAGCTCAGAAGACAGTTGCCCCAGCCTTAATGATGGATTTCTGTATGGGGCAGCCACCACGGCAGGCATCTTGCTGACCCTTAGGTTACAGCCTTCTGGAAGCAGAGTGTTTATTGGATTGCCTGAATGACCTGAACAATACACATTCCAATGCCACAGTGCTTTCCTAAGCAATTGCTGCTTCTCCATCCTGAAAACCCTGGTGTAATATGGAGGGAGGGGGAGACTCTCTCATGTGTTAAAATAAATGGCAAAGAATTAGTCATCCATCTGCCAAATTTTATACAATGAAACTAATCCAAGAAAGTTTCTATGGAAAGAAGACAGGACGCAATGCATAAGAAATAAGCTGAAAGAATAATACAGGTTGTGTTGGGAGGTAGAATTGAGGATTGTCTTAATATTTTTTCATTTGTTTTATCCATTGGCTAGCCTTTCTGAATGAGGTTGTCTTGCTTTTATAATAAAACAATAAAAATAAATGTCAAAGTGGGAAGGCCTTCTTGAGTATATACAAGATTGAAAAATTCAGCTACATGAACCTCAAAATTTTCTGCATGGTAACAGACAAATGACACACTGGAAGGAATATCACAGAGAAAGCGCTGATGTCCTTGTAATATAAAGAGCCCCTGCAAATCCATCTGAGAAAGATCAACCTAATATCAAAATGGACAGAGATCAATAACCTAATAGAAAAATGGACCAAGGACATAAACATAAAAAAAGAAATCCAAATGGTTCTTAAACATTTGAAAAGGTACTTTTATTTGTTAGGGTAAGTAATTCCAGCTACTGTATACAAATTCCAAAATATCAATAATTTCACAGAGTAGATAATTACATAGAGCCCATTTGTTTCTTCAGCAGGCGGCTTTCCATGTGGTCATTCAGAGACGTGGGATCCTTCCATATAGTGACCCAGTCTTCTCCTACAGCCTCATAGTCCTCTTCTGTGTCTTCTGCATCTGGACAGCAGATAAAAGAAGGGAGATAGTGGGGATTGCTCTTAAGAAGCTTTAATAGGCCACATCTAAAAGTAACATTCATCACTACTTCCAGGCACATTCCATTGTCTAGAACTCAGTCCGTTGGCCATAATGAATTCCAGGGAGACTGGGAGATATAATTTATATACATACCCAGGAAGAAAGTGAAGTGAATTTGATAAACATCTAGCCAATCTGCCACAATGCTTAACCTTCTTCATGTTAAGAGAAATGTAAATTAAATTAAAACTACAATTGTGTACCACTTTCCATCTATCAGACTGGCAAAGCTAAAGTTTGATAACATGGTATAGGGAAATAGCTGCTTTCATACAAGAGGGAGCTGGAGGAGGATTGGTACATTCTCTATGGAGGGCAGTTTGGCCAAATTTGCAGTTTTAAATGCACATACCCTTTGGATTAGCACATATAAATGCTTATCCTTACATAAAATATATCTGTAGGGATAAATAAGAAAGTGGTAGCTCACACGTGTATTCCCAGCACCTTGGGAAGCCGAGGCAGGCAGATCGCTTGAGCTCAGGAGTTCGAGACTAGCCTGGGCAACATGGTGAAACCCTTTCTCTACCAAAAATTAGCCAGACATGGTGGCTTCCACCTGTAGTCCCAGCTACTCGGGAGGCTGAGGCAGGAGAATTGCTTGAACCCGGGAGACAGAGGCTGCAGTAAGCCGAGATGGTGCCACTGCACTCCAGCCTGGGGGACAGAACAAGACTCCATCTAAAAACAAAACAAAACAAAACAAAAAACACTAAAAGAAAGAAATTGGTAATAGTGGTGCCTCTAGGGAAGGGAACTAGGTGTCTAGGACACAAGAGTAGAAGGGAGGCCTATTTTTCACTGTATACCATGTTGTACTTTTTCAGTTTCACCATGGGCTTGTATTATGTGTTCAAAAAATAATTAATTGTGGCCGGGCACGGTGGCTCATACCTGTAATCCCAGCACTTTGGGAGGCAGAGGTGGGTGAATCACTTGAGGCCAGAAGTTCAAGACCAGCCTGGCCAACATGGTGAAATCCCATCTCTACTAAAAATATAAAAATTAGCTGGGCGTGGTGGCACACGCCTGTAATTCCAGCTACTCAGGAGGCTGAGGCAGCAGACTCTCTTGAACCCGGGAAGCAGAGGTTGCAGTAAGCTGAGATCACGCCACTGCCCTCCAGCCTGGGTGACAGAGCAAGACTCTGTCTCAAATAATAATAATAATAATAATAATAATTGTTAAGAATTGTATTCATCCATCAAGTATCTACTGATGTTCCAGGCATTTTTCTAAACATTAGGACATAACAACAAACAAGACAGATCAAGTCTCTGCCCTGCTCACGTTTACTTTTATTTGCCCCCAGATTCTCAACCTTTTTTTTATGATCCTCTTATTTCCATATACTCAAATTGATCAAGCTTTTTCTCTCAAAGTTACCAAATTTCTCCTGATATTCCTGTTTCTCATCCCTGGCATGTTAGTAAGTAATGAAGTTCTAAATATTATTTTCCATTATTTCTCTTCAAATATTTTAAATTTCCATAAAACCATAACTAAGTGCATTGTAATTTCAAACCATTTCATGCATAGTGACGGTGGTAGTGATTTTGGTGCAGGTTAGCCCTAAAAAGAGTATAAATCATTTCCTTTGAAATTAAAATAACACTAGCTACTATATGCTTCCTCTTTTATTTTATAAACTAAAATTTATATACCTTAGTACTTAAAATACCCAGTGAAAGCTAAACATTTTCATGGGTCTTATCTTCTTATAGAAAGTTATGTAAACCCTTTATAAAAATTAGGAAAGCAGAAAAAAGCCTAAAGAAGAAAAGAATCATCATCCCTAGCCCCTCTGAAGGAGCTCAGGAATTGAGAATGAAGCAAGGTCCTCATCTTACTAGGAAAGACCAGCTTCATGGTGGCATTCTCTCAGTCATTTGCAACCAGCTGGTATCAGATCCTCGGTCTTGTAGGCACAAAAACCTGAATTATTTTAGGACAAAGAGTGAGGCCTTTTTTTTTTTTTTTTTTTTTAGACAGAGTTTTGCTCTTGTTGCCCAGGCTGGGGTGCAATGGCGCGATATCAGCTCACCGCAACCTTCGCCTCCTGGGTTCAAGCGATTATCCTGCCTCAGCCTCCTGAGTAGCTGGGATTACAGGCATGCGCCACCATGCCTGGCTAATTTTGTATTTTTAGTAGAGATGGGGTTTCTCCATGTTGGTCAGGCTGGTCTCGACTCCCGACCTCAGGTGATCCACCCGCCTCGGCCTTCCAAAGTGCTAGCATTACAGGCGTGAGGCACCGTGCCCAGCTGAGGCCTTTTCTTAAGGTAGACTCATATTAGCCAAGCTGAAAGTTAAGCCCGTGGAAGTGTTTCATTTGTTACTGAATGCAAGGGCCTCCAGCCTCAGGCTCCAGCCTATCTCTTGGCCTCATATCATGGCCCTTCTGCTATAGGTCTGTCTGTGCCTGCTTGGCTCCTGCCCTCTGGATCACCTGCCATTTCCCCAGCACCACATTCCTTGAGCATCACACCTGTGTTCATGGCTGCTCTCTCAGCCTGGCAAGCCCATGCTGCCCCCTTTGCCCCCCCAGCCTCCAGCTAGAACACTGCCTCCTCCCCATGCTTTCTTCAGGCTCCCCAGACGAGAATGACTCATCCCCGCAAGCTTTGTGCACATCTTTTCTACTTTTTAGCCTACTGTATATACAGGCTTGACTCTCCCACTCTACATAAGCTCTTTGGAGACAGGACTGTCCTGATTCATCTCTTGCTCTCTCTTCAGCCTCCTATCCCTCATCTAGTGCTTTGCTAGCCCCACCACAGTCCCTCCCTACATTGGCTCATGGTGCTGCATTCGTCTTTTTCAGGTGCATACCCAAACCACAGGTCTGCCTGACGACTTTTGATAAATTTGGATGTAGCCAGTATGAGTGTGTACCAAGACAGCTCGCGTGTGACCAGGTCCAAGATCCTGTTTGTGACACAGACCACATGGAGCACAACAATCTCTGCACTTTATACCAAAGAGGAAAAAGCCTCTCTTACAAAGGTCCCTGCCAGGTACAGTGCTTTGGCTGACAAAACAAAGTACACTACGGATAAAATTGGTTTATGATATTTTACAGATGAATCAACAGTAAGACCAGCCGAGGGTCTTCTGTGAATCCTGTCAAATCTATAGCACCCAGTCCTCCACTAAAAAGGAAGACTGGCTCCTTCTCCTAACTCTGGAAGCTATCTTGCTAGTGTGTGTACCTTTGCACATCTGGTGTACAAGCAAGAACAGAGAGTGGCTTCTTGCAGTCCACTCCTAGGAAAAGAACTTAAAAGTTTCACAACCCTGGCATGGTCAACATCATTCTTACTTCTCATAGTTCTCTGGGCCCTCACTAAGAAACAAAGCAGGAAGAATGTGAGTCAAAACCAAGAAAAGTTTTCCCACTCTTCCCACATCAGTCCCACCTCCCAAGGTACTGAAAAGTCATTGAAATTTTCTTTAAGACTTAATGTCTTTTTACATCAGCTTATCTCTCAGTTTTGTAGGTTTATGGAATCTGCATTTATGTTTTAAGGAAAAAAACTGGGCCGGGCGCGGTGGCTCACGCCTGTAATCCCAGCACTTTGGGAGGCAGAAGAGGTGGATCACAAGGTCAGGAGTTCAAGATCAGCTTGACCAACATGGTGAAACCCCATCTCTACTAAAAATACAAAAATTAGCTGGGCATGGTGGCACATGCCTGTAATCCCAGCTACTCAGGAGGCTGAGGCAGGAGAATCGCTTGAACCCGGGAGGCGGAAGTTGCAGTGAGCCGAGATCATGCCATTGCACTCCAGCCTGGGTGACAGAGCAAGACTCCATCTAAAAAAAAAGAAAAAACCAAGGACAATTCCTTTTGAGGCTTCTCACATGCACCACTGATTTTATGCTTGCCCCTCTCCCTGGGGCCGTGCTTTGGGCCTAGCATCCGCTGCCCACAACCAGCTAACACTTAAAATGATTGCTTCACATTCTCTGGTCTTCATGGTTAGAAAAATTCCATCATGATGTCTCCCTGAAACATGCTTGTTTTCTCTCAGAGCCCCTGTGCCATTTGCATTGATCCCATCTACCCTGAATTCTGTCTTCCCCTACTTGTTCCCTTCTCCTGGCTGTGATTTTTCTCTGATCTATTCCTGACCTACCTGTTGGCTCCAGAGTCTGTCTACCCCACTGCTCCCCCAACTCCTCCCTCTCCTTATCCCATACCCAGCATGAAATGATAAGACCTCTGCATTTGCATGAAGATTGATCTGGTCATCTTAAAGAGGCGCTTCTGGGATACTAACAGAAGTCTGAGCAGAGCAGAGAGAGGTAGCAGGAAAGAAGATTTTTATCTCTTATCAGTTCACATGGAATAAGCACCCAGATCCCAGAGAGGCTGAGAAAAGTAATCTTTCAGCTCATCTGGAGACACCCATATTGCTGCCCACGCCACCACCACCCCCAGCATTTAGCCCACCTCAGGAACTTAAGAGGTCCTCATAATTTATACCTGTGTCTTTTTTCCTTCCTGAAAATAGGGAGGCATGCTGTGTACTCTTGGTTGGGAAAGGTACAACATAGACATTTCCAGGCTAAATGTGATTTGTTTGCCCTCAGCCCTTTTGCAGAGCAACCGAGCCCGTATGTGGGCACAATGGTGAGACCTACAGCAGTGTGTGTGCTGCCTACTCGGATCGCGTGGCAGTCGATTACTATGGGGACTGCCAGGCCGTCGGAGTCCTCTCAGAGCACAGCTCCGTCGCCGAGTGTGCTTCTGTCAAGTGTCCTTCGCTCTTGGCAGCTGGATGCAAACCCATCATCCCACCGGGTAGGCTGGCAGTATCGGGGTGGACAGGGGAGGACTGAGAAGATTTGCTTATCCACCTCCAGAGAGTGAGTCATTGAGAAGAGAGCTCATTTACGTTTTTCAGAAAGTCTTGAAGAGATTCTTATGCTGATCATACTCACTACTTTGGGTTGACCTTAAAAAACTAGGGCTTGCCTTCGATATCATCTGGTGTCCTGCTATTTTAAAACAATACAGCAGCCTTTTCTCAAGCTAAATCTTACACCAGACACCAATATATAAACAGATAAAGCAGTATTCAATTATGAAAATTAGGGTTATTAAATGCATAATGTTTACTTATTACAAAGTTAACAAATAACGAATTACTAATTAATGAATAATTAAAGTAGTTTTGATGAACACAAACTTTTGAAATTGAGAGAAATAGAAGATAGTTGTTGTCTTAGATTGGCCTTAACATCTAATTTAATTGTTTTAGTTGCATATAATCAGAAAAGTTTTGTTTCATACAGACTGTTTTTAGCAATAACAGTTTTTTAAAACAGCTTACCTTACAATCTCACACTCTTAGTCAAACAGAAGTAGCAGAAGAGACTTTATTCCAAGTCTGCACAGAACAGGTTAATCTGGATCTAACAGGTTCATTCCTCCATCCGTTAATTCATCAAATGTTTATTTAGCTTTCACTATGTGCCAGACGCTCCTCTAAGCACTGGGGACACAGCAGTGAGAAAAACAAAGCCCTTTTCCTTCTGGAGACCATGTTCTGAGGGAGGTGACAGACCAAACATAAGTTGCCATGCAAATCTGCACTAAACCAGATGGCAGCAAGTACGATGACACGAAATGAAGGGGAATCGGAGGGGCCCAGGGCAGAGAGGCTGCTAATGGATTGGTTAAATCTCTGTCGTGTGAAAATACGGCATAATATTATATTTGATTATGCCATATTCTGTTATGGGTTTTAGCAGTTTAAAATAATTTTTAAAATTAAATTTGAATCGGTCGGGCGTGGTGGCTCACGCCTGTAATCCCAGCACTTTGGGAGGCCGAGGCAGGCGGATCACGAGATCAGGAGATCGAAACCATCCTGACTAACACGGTGAAACCCTGTCTCTACTAAAAATACAAAAAAATTAGCCGGGCATGGTGGCGGGCACCTGTAGTCCCAGCTACTCTGGAGGCTGAGGCAGGAGAATGGCATGAACCCGGGAGGCGGAGCTTGCAGTGAGCCGAGATCGCGCCACTGCACTCTAGCCTGGGCAACAGAGCGAGACTCTGTCTCAAAAAAAAAAAAAATTAAATTTGAATCAAACACTCATGGAACCCCTGAAACACCAACTCCCTTATTTTGCAGACAGGGAAACAAGGCCTGGCAGAAGCATTTGCCCAGAATCACACAGTGAGTTTTGAGGCAGAGCAGGATCAGGCCCCAGGTCTCTTGAAAAGCCAGCTGTCTCTATGCTATCTGCACCACAGCCTTCTCACTCCAAGGAGTGGTGAAGGATGAAAAGCAGGGGTAGAGAAAGGATTTTGGTAAATGTAGAGATGAGAGGACTCCAGGTTGGTCAAGGAGCTTATATGAAGGTACAGTCTTTGGGAAGGACACTGTAACTCTCCTGCCCAAAATGAAGGGCTGGACATTTCACTAAGGATTTTAAATTCTCTTTGTTTCTAATTCTGAACGCACATAAAATGGTTTCTGTTATACAGGTGCTTGTTGCCCATTATGTGCTGGGATGTTAAGAGTTTTATTTGACAAAGAAAAACTGGATACTATTGCTAAGGTAAATTGCTTTATATTCAGATGCTATTGAAATCTTATTGCTAAGCCTCTCAGTAATCCTAGAGAGTAGAATGTGTTGTCCTCATTCATAGATAAAGAAACTAATCTTCAGAAAAGCAACTTTCCCAGGGCCATATAGCCCTTAATCAGTAGGACGAGGGTTTGCACCCAGGCTGGCTGACTCCCAAGCCCATGTTCCTCCCCCCTACACCCTGGCTGTGCACATCACAGTCAGCGTGAGCCTTTCTTAGAAAAGGCCCCTGCTGGCACAGTAAGCATAGGTGGGGCTGCAGGCAGAGCCAGGTAGCCAGAGACTGGTGGGTGCCCAGGTGCTTTTGAGGTCGCCTCCCCTCACACCAGTCCCCGTGCCTCCTGAGGGGATCTTCTGGAGCCCTGCCCGTTCCCTGCATAGTTCTGCCCTCTCTCTTTTCTGCACCATCACAGGGCTCCAGAAATGTTGCACCCAACACTTGCCACAACCTAGAGATTTAGCCCCATTTTGATTACAAACACCTGTATTTTTAAAAACCCTGTGACCTCTACCTCAGAACAGTCACTTTTTGCAAAAGTGGTTCTGGTGAAAGTATGTATCTTCACTACAGAGTTTCTCAGTCAGGCAAAACCCCATTGTGATGGACTGGAGATTCAGAATTTGGCCTAGCAAAGCTGCGGTTGGGCCTTCCGCTGAGGGCTGTGCGGTCAAAAGAGCCTCCTCAGCTGGCAGCCCAAAGCAAGGGAGCTTAGGCAGTCATAGGAATTCTTCTTTTTTTCAGGTAATACATGTTTTCTCTTTCCAGGTAACAAATAAAAAGCCAATAACAGTTCTGGAAATACTTCAGAAAATCCGCATGCACGTGTCTGTCCCACAGTGTGATGTGTTTGGATACTTCAGCATTGAATCAGAAATTGTGATCCTGATCATTCCCGTCGATCACTATCCAAAAGCTCTGCAGGTGAGTTCAGCACATGTTGTGAAGCCATCTTGTCACTTTCAAGTTTGGTGCACCTAGGAGGGAGTGGGCACAAACTAGGACCGAGGAAGGATCCGTGGGTGAGGGAGTGGAGGCATTTGGGAAGTTCAGCGGGACAGGAGGGAGAAAAGCAAGGCAATCTCTAAAGGACTGAGCACTTTGCCAGTGGCTGAGACCTGGTGCACATTTGACAGTGGGATGCAGAGGCACCAGGGCAGGGGAGGGATTAAGATACTGTGACTGGGAGTGTGCACAGCTGGAAGGGGTCCGAGAAATCACTGTCTCTAATCCACCCATTGTACAGACGAGGCAGCTGATGCCCAAGCCGGGGAAGGAACTGGTGCAGGTCATGCAGTGATAAAGCCAGAAAAGACTCCAGTCTCCTGAGAGCTGTGTGCCCACTGTGGAGGAAGATCCCATCAGAGCTGGTCATGTGGGCTCTAGTGTTTCTTTGTCAGTCTGGAGACATGTAGAACCCCACTCACGTAGACCCAAGTTTCAACATCAAAGGCAGTGAGGGCTCAAGGGAAGGGAACGAAGGCAAGCAGTCTGTGAATCACTAGGAAGTTCATCTCGTCGTTGTTTTCCTTTTCATGTTTCAATGGACATTAAAATTGTATTCTGTGTGACCCTAACTAACCATGTAAGGATAAAGTCTAAATGTGGGTAAGAGGTGTGGGTAACAGGTGTGGAAAAATGAAAACAGTTGATTGATTAGGGCAGTGGCATTGTGGATTATTTCTTGTCTTTCTCTTTTCTTTTTTCTTCTTTTCTTTTCTTTGAGATGGGATCTTGCTACATTGCCCAGGCTGGTCTCGAACTCCTGGGCTCAAGCTACCCTCCCACCTTGGCCTCCCAGAGTGCTAGGATTACAGGCATGAGCCACAACACATGGCCAATTATTTCTTTTCTGGTTTGATTTCCATTAATGCTGCTATATTTATGTAATAAACTAAAACTATAATAAAATGTTACTTTGGATAAGAACAGAAGGACAAAGAGAAAGTAAATGCCCTCTGAGGCCACGCTACTTTTAGGATATACGTGGAATTTGTCTGGCTTGATGTTGAAAACGTTCTGTGGTTTTATATTAAGGGAACCTTGTTTCTCCTCACAGATTGAAGCCTGCAATAAAGAAGCAGAGAAGATTGAGTCCCTTATCAACTCTGACAGCCCGACTTTGGCGTCCCATGTCCCTCTCTCTGCCCTCATCATTTCCCAGGTACAGGTCTCCAGCAGTGTGCCATCGGCCGGTGTCAGGGCCAGGCCTTCTTGCCACTCCCTCCTCCTTCCCCTCAGCTTGGGCCTTGCCTTGCACTTGCTCTGGACATATAACTGACTGCCCACGGAAAGTGCAGAATGCTCCTCCACCTCACTCTCCTGCCTTGAAAAAGACATTCAGGACTGCTGGTTTGTAGTTGAATATTGGCCAAGGAAAGGCACATGTCACCTCTATTCGCCACACAGTATTTTTTTTTTTAATCCGCCAATATTAGTAGGATTTTTGTTTTGTTTTTACAAATGTTAAAATGTGTTGTTCCAAATACTAATGAAAACAGAATGTCTCTTCCTGGTAGACCACTGCCATATGATTTACATTTCCTCACCATAAGGGTCCCCCACTCTAAAGCAAATTTATCGCTGGGAAATGAGATGACCACTTTTTAGAAAGATAATTCACTGTACTATCAGGTTCACAAACTTCATTTCAGAGTTCTTTTTGAAGTATTTAAGGTTCCCGTTGCATTTGTTTTGTTTACAGATAATTACCTACTCTGGCTAGAAGCTAGGGGTCCCAGTGAAGAGCCACTGCCATTAAAGAATATGAAACATAGATAAAACATCTTTGAAATTATGTAAATTATGTAAATTATCAGGCAAATTTGCATTAAATTACAGAAATTTAATTCAGAACCCCAACTACTGTGTTATGCAAAAGCAAGCTGATTAAATGACACTCATATAATTATATGTTGTAAGCAACAGGCTCACTGGTCACGGATTTGTGTCTGTGACTTTTGTGAAAGGGAGAAGTGACATTGCATCAAAGCATCTTGCATTATGCAATTTTTATATTAACCAGATATATATTCATCGGTATTCATCCAAGTTAAATGTAGAGTTTTTAAACATCAATCTTTAAACCAATTGCTGCTACTTATATAATTGCCAAAAAGTGAAATAATGTGTAGTTCATGTAAATAATACATTATATTTCTATTTTATTATGAAGAAGGTGAATAGCCATATTTGTAAAATGACAATCATGTGTGTTAACCCAGTGCTTTCCATTCGTGAAAACACATTTGCTTTTTGTGATATGCACAATGTAGATAAGTGTTCTGTCTGACTTTCTTTTTTGATATAGAAGTATAAAGAATTGTGGTTTATATATTTAAAAGTGTCAAGCTGAGTATTAAAATGTATGCATGTTGTCTAAGAAATTGAATACTTTGAATGTGTTTCACAGTTTGAAATAAGCTATTTGATGTAATACTTCTTGTGTGTATGCACATGAACTTAGATTTTACATGAAGTATTTTTTCAGTATTATATGTACCCTCTGAAATACATAGGGATATGCGTATTATACCAAAATGTTGCTGAAAAATGGGCACTTAAAGCTTTCAGAATATGTCAGTGCTGATGTAGCATGCTTGTTGCAATTGCCTTTTTTCTGTATAAATGTCTTTAATGCAATATACTGGAAAGCTTTTCTATTTTAATAAAAATAATTTTTATATGATCATGCATGCTTCTAAGCAATGTTGACATTCAAAAAGGAAACCACTGATCACCCTTAGGTGAGCTGTGTCCTTTGCTCGGGGATAAGAAGTCATGGAAATTAGCCGGGTATGGTGGCACATGTCTGTGGTCCCATCTACTTGGGAGGCTGAGGCTGGAGAATCGCTTGAACCTGGGAGGTGGAGGTTACAGTGAGCTGAGATCACACCACTGTACCCCAACCTGTCTCATACCTGAGACAGAGTGAGACCCTGTCTCAAAAAAAAAAAAAAGAAGTCATGGAGTGCTATTATCCCAAGCCAAGGGCCCTGGGAGAACAGGCCAGCTAGGACACAGTTGGTCAGACCAGAGGGCAGGCAGTGACAGAGAGTCAAATACAAAGACCCCAGCTTTCAGCCTTAAGGACAGAGAGAGCTTCAGGCCTTCCAAGACTGCATACTAGGCAGTTCTCCCCACTGTGCTGGTCCTGATGTTCCAGTTCCAGGGTACACCTGGGGCAGGGAGACCATGGGAATATGGAGATGGAGGGCTGCTGATGGGACCAGAGAAGTGGTACCAATCAGCTTAGGCTAAGTCCCCAAAACTTCAGTGGCTTACAACAGAGGCTTCTATTTTGTTCCCTTCACATGTCCATTGTGGGTCAGCTGCCACACCTGATACTATCTTCACTCCAGACCCATTCCAGCGTCCTCACAAAGGGCAGAAAAGAGACATAGAGGACCACAAGCTGGCCCTGAATTCTCTGCTTGGAAGTGATGCTGTCATTTCTTTCTACGTTTTACTAACCAAAGCAAGTCACATGGCCACTCCAGAGTTCAAAGGGTGGGGACATACAGTCCTCCCACGGTGTTTTGTGTGTGTTGGGGGAGGGACAGTAAGTATTTTGAATAACACTGTCTACCATAGACATCTTTTCTCATCAGGCTAGGACAATAGCCAGGACTGACAAGATTTTTTATTAGAGAAGTAGATGTTTCCAGCCTGGTCAACATAGCAAGAACCCATCTCAAAGAAAATGCAAGGCGTTTAATAGGACAGGTTGGAGAAGGTGATCAAATGGTACAGGCAACCTGCCATGGGAGGTGTGAGTTGGGGGAGGGAGCATCTAACAAGGGGGAAGACGCAAGCCCTCGAAAAGAGGGTTGGTTTGCACCAGGCCTGGAAGAAACCAGGAGACTTTGCCAGATGGCTTTGAGAAAGGCATTCTAAGTAGGAGGTACAGCTTGAGCAAAGGTGCAGAAACGACAGAGTCCAGGTCCGTTCCAGGGGTAGAACAGCAGGGCTGACATGTTGTGAGGGGCGTGGTGTGGGGAAGTATAAGGCAGATCCGATGTGCCCAGCTTGAATGCCAGGCCACAGTGGCATCCTAAGCCTCTGCCCTTGCCCTTCCAGCTACACTGACCAGCCTGGATAGCTCTAGCCTGCAAAGGATTGTGTGCCCCAAACTTCAGTGCCACGAGACCTTCAAGACCATCCACTGATCTTGTTACTAGGCAGTGCTTCCCTCTGTCCTGTGAGCACCCTGGACTCTCCTGAGGAAATAATAACTGAGCAGGCTGGGGGCCAGGGTTCCCTTAGGCCTGGTCCCCACCCTTAGAGTTCAGCCAGGGTCTCTTTCAGCTCCACTGTGGGAGGAAACTTAAACCCACCAGGAACACTGATCGTCACTGAAGAAACTGCACTTTCCTTCGTTTGATTCAATGCTTCTCTTTCAGCCTTGGGCTGATGGGAGTCAGGCCCACACACTCCCACAGAGGGTGCTCTAATTCTCAGAGGGACAGGAGGCCCCGCTGCAGGGGCCTTTCCTTCCCTGCCTCCCAGCTGCAGAAGAGGCTTGAGTTGTGCACTTTGCAAGCTGAGAGAAAGTGAAGGCAGAGGCGTCATTCCCAGGGATGAGCCAGTCCTTCCAGCAGTCCAGCAATCTTGGGGCTGGAGGGCAGATTTCCACGGTGCACACAGAGAGAAACCAAGAGTACAGGGACCAAGCTGTGGTTACACAGGGAGTCAGGGTGAAGCCACGGCCAGAGGCCAGGTCCAGGCTTTCCCTGGCACAAGGCAGCCAGGCAGGATTTGTACTTCTCAGAAATGGAACTGGCCATAAAGGAGGTTGCCATGAAGGTAGATGCCAGAAGGTGAGCAGAGTGAAACAGTTCCAAGGCCAGGTGAGCCTGGGTGGGTCTGAGCAAACAGGTTCAAGGAGCATCAGGAATCATAAAAAGTAACTGACACAGTTCGCCAGCTCACTTTCTAGGGCAGTTTAGGGAGTGCTTTTCACCATGTTGTCTCCCGGCCCAAAGCAAAACGCCTCACACAGAGAGCAAATGCCAAGTCTAAGGTTGAGTTTCATTCTAGAGCCCAGCCTCAGGGCATTAGGCTGATGGTGGAGAGGGTAGGGAAGGAAGCCTCACAGGGTGAACACTCTGTCCCCTGGCTCCACCCACTTTTCCATTATTCCAAAATGAAGTTCACTGTATTGTTTTTTCCTTGTAAAAGTTACGTGTGCACCTTCCCCCAAGTACTTGGAAATATAAATAAAGGAAAAAAAATCCCATACCTTCCTCTCCCTGCCTCTACAAATAAGTGCAGAATCCTTCTAGAGCCTTCTCTGTACATATCTATCTCTCTCTGTAATCAGGGCAAGGTACCTCCTCTGTCTGCAATGGGGAGGAGGTGGTTACCTCACTGCCCTGTGCGGGGAAATTGAGGGAAACGGTTTCATATTTGGGATGTTGTCTACTGGGCGGTACATCCTTGCCTAAAGGTTCATAGGTGGAAGCCCTATCTTGGCCAACACCCACCAGGTAATCAGGGGGTGGGTCTTTTCCTAAAGACCACCTCCTCTGTCTTCTCCAGACCAATCTCCCACTGAACTCTACTGCAAATGCAACCAGTTGCTTTGCCAAACAGAAGTGTAACCACTTAGGCAGGGCGCGATGGCTCATGCCTGTAATCCCAGCACTTTGGGAGGCTGAGGCAGGCAGATCACTTGAGCTCAGGGGTTCGAGACAAGCCTAGGCACCATGGCGAAACCCCATCTCTACAAAAAATACAAAGGCATGGTGGCATGTCCCTGTGGTCCTAGCTACTTGGGAGGCCGAGGTGGGAGAATGGTTTGAGCCAGGGTGGTTGAGGCTGCAGTGAGCCAAGATCATGCCACTGCACTCCCGCCTGGGCAACTGAGTGAGACCCTGTCTCATCCAAAAAAAAAAAAAAAAAAAAGAAGAAGAAGAAGGCTAACCATTTATGTTGGTCAGGGTCCTAGCAGGAAAACGAATGGTCCACCCAAATTAGGATTAATTGGAGGAAAGTTTAATAAAGGGGCTATTTATAAAGGTGTGGGCAGGATGTAGGGAAACCACAAGGCATAGTACAACACGCCAGGCCTCAAAGTGGAGCTGTTAGCACCTCTAACCCCTAAGCCTAACGGAGAAGCCATTGCTTCTCTCCCTTGGGTCTCCTCTCACAGCTCCCACTGGGAACCCAGTTGAAAACCCAAGGACCAGGCAGCCTGTGCTGGTAGTCATACAGGTCAGCCTTCTGGGGCAGAGATCAGGGCAGAGAGTGGAAATAAGGAAGGAAGTGGAGCAAAAAGAAGATACCCAGCACAGCAGGCCAGGGTGACACCAAGAAGAGCACTCAGTCGGTTGCACCACTCATTTTGGAGAAAGGGCTCTCGGCTTAACCCTTTGGACCATGTTCTGCTGAATGCTCCTTCCTGACCTTGCTCAGCCTCCTCAATTCCTCTCTGTCTTCCTCTCACAGCCCTTTATCAAGCCCACATTTGCCAGTGCCTCCACCCAGCTCCCTAAGAATTCGTCAGCCCTCTGCAACCCAAGAAAGCAGTCCAGGCCCCATGCCCCTTCTTGTCCCCCTTCTTGCTGGCACTCTTCTGACCAAAAGCCTAGAGCAGAACTGCAGTGCACTAGTGCAGGCTATTGCAGAAACTTCCTTCTGCCCGGGATTTGCTGGCTCTGAAGTGGAGGGCTGGGCTCTGGCCCCAAAAGGAGGGGAGTAGGGGGAAGGTGGACGCCTGGATCCAGCTCACCTTCTTCATCATCAGGAAGCTGCCCCACAGCAGGCACGCATCCTCATGGCGAGTATTCATGTTCTTCCTACAATGGCCCAGTCTGGCCACGTGTGAGCAGAGCAGAGAGTCCTCATGATAAAACGGATTTGGTCGTGTGTTTGTGAAATAAGCCCATATTGGGTGATTTTGAAACTCGTTGTTGTGGTTGCTATTGTAAATGTTTCCCCCATGACATAGTCCAACTGGTTATTGATACTATGTAATAAAGCAATTGATTTTTTAAAATTTTTTGGACCCCCTGGCTGTCATTTTAAATTTCATATTACTTTATATTTATTGGATTTTCTGAGGTTTTTCCAGGGAGAAGCCATAATGAAAACTTTGCTCTTTCTTTTTCAAAGAGATAAGATACCTCTTATTTCTTCTTGTTGCTCTAGTATTGGCTAGAACTCCCAGAACAATATTGAATAGCAGTGGGGACTGCAAGAAACCTTGTTGTGTTTTGGATTTTAATGGGGATGTCTCCATTGTTTTATTGTGAAGCATGACATGTTTGCTTTAAGCGTAACATGTTTTACTGTTAGTTTCAAGGGACTTCTTTTTATTCTGCTATGGAAAAGTAAGAGTTTTTTTAAACTCAGTAATAAATACTCAATTGTATCAAATATATTCCAGCATCCATTTACAGTATATTTTTCTTTGACTTATTAATATTGTGAATATATTTCTTTTTTTTTCTTCTCCCCGAGACAGTCTTACTCTGTCATCCCGACTGGAGTGCAGTGGTGCAATCACGGCTTACTGCAACCTCCAACTCCCGGGCTTAAGCAATCCTCCTGCTTCAGCCTTCCAAATAGCTGGGACTATCAGCACATGCCACTATGCCCAGCTAGTTTTTATTTTATTTCATTTATTTTTGAGACGTCTTCTCTCTCTGCCGCCCAGGCTGGAGTGCAGTGGCCGTGATCTCGGCTCACTGTAACCTTCCGCCTTCCGGGTTCAAGTGATTCTCCTGCCTCAGGCTCCCGAATAGCTGGGACTACAGGGGCTTGCTACCACGCCCGGCTAATTTTTTGTATTTTTGTTTTTGCGGGTGTTTTGTTTTGTTTTGTTGTGTTGTGTTTTTGAGACAGAGCTTTACTCTTGTTGTCCAGGCTGGGTGCAATGGCGCGATCTCGGCTCACTGCAAGCTCCGCCTCCTGGGTTCAAGCGATTCTTCTGACTCAGCCTCCCGAGTAGCTGGGACTTGCAGGCGCATGCCACCATGCCCAGCTATTTTTTGCATTTTTAGTAGAGGCGGGGTTTCCCCATATTGGCCAGCCTGGTTCCTCTTCTTAAATATTAATAATTTGTATTTTCTTAGAAAATTGCCCAATTAAGGAAAATTATTAGTGAGCAGTTGTCTATATGTTTTTTCTGAACACTTCTAAAAAAAGATTACATCCCCTTTTTATTACTAATGTGGTACATTTGAGTTTTCTCTTCTTTTAGACTTCTTTATTCATTTGATTTTGTAGTGATATATCTATTTGATATGTCTTCCAGCTCTAGGTTATATTTTTCAATCTTGCTCTTTATCTGTTTTCTACTATATAATTTTTTGTTTTTATCTACATTAACTGCTTTAGTCAATTTTAAACATCTTATAGCAATCTTATTATAGAAACATTTTCCTGTATTTGCTTATATTTATCCATGTATTCTTCTGTCCATCCATCTTACCTTTTATGTGTTTCAAAGTTGAATCCATTTAATTTTTTATGGATTCCGAAGTAAGTTGAAAACATCAATACATTTTACCCTGAAACACTTCCGCATTCATTCACTATTTCTTTATGTTTCTTTCCTTTCACTTATTTTTTGTTGTCTAGCTCCTTTAGTTCAGTGCTTTACTTTTCTTTTTAAATAAGTAATATAATAATATTTAAGATTTACTAACTGGCTGGGCACAGCGGCTCACACCTGTAATCCCAGCATTTTGGGAGGCTGAGGCAGGTGGATCACCTGAGGTCAGGAGTTTGAGACCAGCCTGGCCAACATGGTGAAACCCCGTCTCTACTAAATATACAAAAACTAGCCAAGCATGGTGGCACATGCCTGTAAGGTCTGTAATCCCAGCTACTCGAGAGACTGAGGCAGGAGAATCACTTGAACCTGGGAGGCGGAGGTTGTAGTGAGTCGAGACTGTGCCACTGCACTCCAGCCTGGGTGACAGAGAAAGACTCCATCTCAAAAAAAAAAAAAAAAAAAATTAACTAAAAAAATTAACTCTCATGTTTCAGGACAGTTTAGGGAAATTTTTAAATCAGACATCAGGGGAGAATCTTCTCCCTCCAGACCCCAAATTAGGTAATAGACTATTTTTATAAGTCAATGCATGTAAGATTCAGAATTCTAAGAAAAAGATGTCAATAAGAAAAGACTTTTTGGCTGGGCCCAGTGGTTCATGCTTGTAATCCCAGCACTTTGGGAGGCCGAGACAGGTAGATCACCTGAGGTCAGGAATTTGAGACCAGCTTGACTAATATGATGAAACCCTGTCTCTACGAAAAATACAAAAATTAGCCTGGGATGGTGGCAAGCACCTGTAATCCCAGCTACCTAGGAGGCTGAGACAGGAGAATAGCTTGAACCAGGTAGGCGGAGGTTGCAGTGAACCAAAATCATGCCATCACACTCCAGCCTGGGTAACAAAGCAAGACTCCATCTCAAATTAAAAAAAAAAAAAAGAGAGAGACTTAATTTTTTTTTTTTTTTTTAAAGACAGGGTCTCACTCCATTACCCAGGCTGGAGTACAGTAGCATGATCAGAATTCACTGCAGCCTTGAGCTCCTGGGCTCAAGCCATCCTCCCACTTCAGCCTCCTGAGTAGCAGGGACTACAGGTGTGTGCGCCACACCCAGCTATTTATTTTTAATTTTTTGTAGAGATAGGGTCTTGCCATGTTGTCCAGGCTGCTCTTGAATTCCTGGCCCCAAGCTATCCTCCCACCTTGGACTCCTATGGCACTGGGATTACAGGCATGAGCCATCCTGCCTGGCCAATAAGAGGGAGTTTTTCATTAAAATCCCTTTATTTTCAAGTCAAGGAAGTATTAAGTTATAAGAAGTTACTGTCTGTACTTTTTTTCTCAGTCCTTTGATGGTGAATCTTCTTTCCTTACAGGTTTCAACCCTCTGGGCACAGAGTCAAATATTCCCCTCTTAGGAAGGGTATACAAGGCCGGGTGCAGTGGCTTATGCCTATAATCCCAGCACTTTGGGAGGCCGAGGAGGGCAGATCATGAGGTCAGGAGTTTGAGACCAGCCTGGCCAACATGGTGAAACTCTGTCTCTACTAAAAATACAAAAATCAGCCGGGCATGGTGGCGCACGCCTGTAATTCCAGCTACTCAGGAGGCTGAGCCAGGAGAATTTCTTGAACCCAGGAGGCAGAGGCTGCAGTGAGCCGAGATCATACCACTGCAGTTCAGCCTGGGCAACAGAGCAAGACTCCATCTCAAAAAAAGAAAAAGAAAAGCAGAGCAAGATATTTTGAGCCCAGGTCTAACTCACAACCGATGTTCATATTTCTCATGCTGTATACTTTCCTCTAAGTACATCTTTGGCTGCATCCCATGTATTTTCTAACCACAATAATAAAGAAAGCATAACAGGATAAAATAAGGAGACTTTCTGCCAGTTTTCTTTCCCCCACTTTTCTAGTTGTCATGGCCTTTCACCCACTGGCTATTACAGTGAATTTTTTATTCCGAAAACCTCTGCCAATCAAGAGCCAAAGACTGGAGGGCTTAAAGCATAGTTTGTTTCATAAACCAGTTTGGGGAATAATTCATAATGATGTAAGAGCTTAGACACTGAGAAGGGGCTGAGTCATGGGGTGCAGCATGTTCTGGGAAAACAGATTTAGGACAGAAACAAAATTTCTCCTTTTAAGAATGGAGATACGATTGACATTCGCTGGTTTTTGGCTTTTCAGCATGTGGTAGAGTCTCTATTTGAATGTAAAAGACCCTTTCTAACTCTGGCAGCTTGTGGGGTTTGGAGAGGGGGTGGGAAATTTCCTTGGTTCTCTTTGTTTATTTATTTTATTAATTTTTTTGAGACAGAGTCTCGCTCTGTTGCCCAGGCTGGAGTGCGGTGGCACAATCTCGGCTCACTGCAACCTCCACCTCCTGGGTTCAAGCGATTCTCGTGCCTCAGCCTCCTGAGTAGCTGAGACTACAGTCTCGCGCCACCATGCCAGGCTAATTTTTTGTATTTTTAGTAGTGACGGGGTTTCACCACATTGGTCAGGTTTGTCTCGAACTCCTTACCTCAGGTGATCTGCCCACCTCAGCTTCCCAAAGTGTTGGGATTACAGGCGTGAGCCACCGCGCCTAGCACTGTGTTCTCTTTCTGGGTGCTTGTGTGAAGGCTTGTGACTCAGGCGCGGCCAGATGGATGCACCTGTCCAAGCACCCGAGTCTAGAGGAGGCAACTCAAAGGTGTGGAGAGGAGCCCAGAAAGATTAGGAATTTATCCCAAAGAAACTGAAGTAGATGTGAGTTTCCTTGAGTGTGATCTCAATCTTAAAAAAAAAAAAAAATCCTCTAAGCCAGGTGCAGTGGCACTCACCTGTAGTCCCAGCTACTTGGGAGGCAGAGGCAGGACAATCATCTGACCCAGGAATTCAAGGCTGCAGTGAGCTACTGTACTCCAGCCTGGGCACCATAGCAAGACACCATCGCTAAAAAAATTATCTAAGATAAGTATTATTATCTTCATTTTACAGATGAGAAAACAGACATGGAGAAACCCGAGCACCCAAACCAGAGCCACAGTCTCTGTGGGCAGCAGAGCTAGAAACTGAACTTGGGCCACAGGACTTCAAACCCATGTTCCACACTCTTAACAATTACCAAGTTTTTGTTGTTGTTGTTTTTTGTTTTTTTTTTTAGACAGGGGCTTGCTCTGTTGCCCAGGCTAAAGTACAGTGGCACAATCATAGCTCACTACAGCCTCGACCTCCCAGGATCAAATGATTCTCCATCTCAGCCTCCTGAGGAGCTGGGACCACAGGCATGTGCCACCACACCTGGCTAATTTTTGTAATTTTTTTTTTTTAATTTTGTGAGACACAGGGTCCCTCTATATTGTCCAGGCTCGTCTCAAACTCCTGTTCTCAAGCGATTCACCTGCCCTGGCTTCCCAAAGTGCTAGGATTACAGGTGTGAGCCACCACGCCCAGCCTGCAGAGTATTCAGATTGTCATTTATATCTGAACGTGTTTTGATTTTGCCTTTCAGTGCTGTAAGAGGGATTTTTTTTATTTTCTAGATGATTCAAAAATTTTTAGCCAATCTTTTGTTATTTAGTTTTAGTTTTATTACATTGTGCTCAGAAAATGTGACTGAATTTTTTCTACTTTCAGGAATTTATTACAGCTTAGTTTAAGACCTAACATTTGGTCAATTTTTGTATTTATTCCATACAAATTTGAAAATAATGTTATCGGGCCGGGAGTGTTGGCTCACGCCTGTAAACCCAGCATTTTGGGAGGCCGAGGCGGGTGGATCACCTGAGATCGGGAGTTTGAGACCAGCCTGGCCAACATGGAGAAATCCCGTTTCTACTAAAAACACAAAAATTAGCTGGATGTGGTGGCACATGCCTGTAATCCCAGCTACTGGGGTCAAGGGGAGGGCACTGAGGCAGCAGAATTGCTTGAACCTGGGAGGTGGAGGTTGCAGTGAGCCAAGATCAAGACACTGTACTCCAGCCTGGGCAACAGAGGGAGACTGCATCTCAAAAAGAAAAAAGAAAATAATGTTATCAAGTATGAATGGTATTAATACAAATTAAAAGGCAGATATTGTCAGACAGGATTTAAAAAAAAGACCTAACTGCATCTTGTCAACTATAAGATGTCTATTTTAAATATAAAGAAACGGTTAAAAGTTAAAAGATGGAGTAGTGGTGGCTGGGCGGGGTGGCTCACGCCTCTAATCCCAACACTTTGGGAGGCCAACGTGGGTAGATCACTTGAGTTCAAGGCCAGCCTGGCCAATATGGTGAAACCCCGTCTCTACTAAAAATACAAAAAATTAGCTGGGCATGGCGGCACATGCCTGTAATCCCAGCTACTTGGGAGGCTGAGGCAGGAGAATTGCTTGAACCCAGGAGGTGGAGGTTGCAGTGATCCGAGATCGCACCACTGCACCCCAGCCTATGAGACAGAGCGAGACTGTCTCAAAACACACACACACACACACACACACACACACACAAAGACAATACATTGGGTCAATCACTCTTCTTTGTGTCTGACCTTTGTGGCCATTTGTCTCTTGTGTCTGATGCCTGGACAGCGACTCCCTCTCCAACTAGCCCACGGCCCTTGGTCGGGGTTGACTTTGGCACTGCCCTAACACCCTCCATTCAGCACCCTGTTCCTTCATGTGCCTGCTGCTAAGGTTATGAATTTCTAAGTTAGGAAATGCATCCACTCTCAGCCCCTCTCACCTCCAGTCCTCAGACCTCAAGGTGTCAGTGAAACATGGTGGTCCCAGATGGGCTTCCCTCTGCGTGCAGTGAGCAGCCCGCTGAGCCTCACTGTCTCCACCCACGGCCTTAAAGTTTTTGTTATGTGAAATACAGCCTTCTAGAGATTCTAGGGGCAACATGGAATTCTTCCTACTGTGTTTATTTGATTATTTCAATAGGCATTTGTTGACAAAATGGGAGAGGGAATTGAATAGAGGGGGTTAGATCCCCACCTAGCACCAGGAGTCCCTTTTGTTTGTTTATAGAGATGGGAGGGGGGGTCTCACTATATTGCCTCAGGCTGGTCTTGAACTCCTGGGCTCAAGAATCCTCCCACCTCCGCCTCCTGAAGTGCTGGGATTACAGGCGTGAGCCACCGCACCCAGCCCCAGGAGTCCCTTTTGAATCAGGGTTGGGCACCAATTTGACCCATACTGAATACTTTAGGTGACTGTAACACAATGGTAAAAATTTGCATATATAAACAGATGTAAACATAGAAACATAGTAAAAATATGGTATCATAATCTCTTGGGACTACCACAGTATATGTGGTCTGGCATTGACTGAAATGTCATTACTCATGACGGTACTAAAATACAGTAGGTGTATTTGCCTGACATGGGGAAAGGAATAGAGAGCACAGTGCCCAGCCATCGCCCTGCGGGACATTCGTAAGCCGTTGGTATTACAAATTCTAGCCTTATCATCAGTGGGTCAGCTCACTTCAGTGCCCATTCATTGAAAAGCCTTAAAATTCGCTTCCTTCATTTGGGGTGTACTGAGCCCCTTCCCCAGAAAGGAGCGCTTGCGGGAAGTCTGGCACAGGTGACTAGGGCTGTGCGGTCAAGTAAGTGCACTTCTCCCACGGGGCAGGGGCCATGGGTGGGACCACATCTCCCCAGTACCTGGTGTGTGCTGCTCCCAGGGTCAGGGCACCTGGCAGTTGGAAAGACCGGCCGACCCCGAGGGATGGGCAGCACTGGAATGGTGGCTCCAGGGCCAGCACTCCCGGAGGAGGGACCGCCTGAGGAAAGGCAGGGAGGTGGGAAATCCCAGAACATGTTTGGGGAATGACAAGACATCTAGTTTGACTGGAGTATGGGGAAAAGGTGGGGCGTTGGGGAGACAGGTCTGGGGCCAGACTGCAGGGGTGGGAATTGGCTTGGTCTGGGAGGCAATGAGGGGCGAGTGGACGGGTCAGAGGCGGCGGCGCTTCCACCCCGACTGGCATTAGAGGGCGTGTCCTAGGAGAGGAGCATCCCCCTCCCCGGACCAGCCGCCCTCCGGAGCCCAGAGTCACCGGAGATGGGGGCACACCCCGGGGCTGCGTGTGTCGTGTCAGGCCGCGGCAGGGAGAGGCCGTCCCCTGGTGGCGCCGGCCGGAACGCCCCTCGTGCCGCGACCGCGCGCCCCTCTGTCCTCGCCGCGCGTCGGCGCAGAGCAGCCACCCGGGGCCCAGCAGGCGCGGGCTTCCCCACGCGCCCCGGGAAGGGACAGCTCGGTGTGGGGTCCGGGAGGCTTGAGCCCCGCGGCCGCATCCGGGGAGCCCTCGGCAGTCGCGGAGCTGCTTCCCAGGGGTGAGCTCTCCGGGAGGCCCACGGGGTGGCCCCGGGCGCCTCCGCCCTCAGCTGTCGCTCCTTATAAGGCGGGGGCCGGGCGGCGCCGGAGGAGGGGCCGCGGCATCAGCCCGGTCCTGGGCTCTGGGGCGGCGCTGGGCCGGGCGAGCGCAGTGCAGCGCAGCCGCGGGGAGCGAGGAGCGCGCGGAGCCGGCCATGGGCAAGTCAGGTGAGCCCGCGGGCTCGCCCGCTGCGGAATGGTTCGGAACCCCGCGCTCCCGGACCTCGCCGTCTCCCTCGTCCGCCGCAAGCCAGGTCCTGGGGAGTGCGGGAGCCCGGGGTGCGGGTGGAGGGCGCGCGGGCGGAGCGCCCCGGCGCGGTTTCCGGGGAACCCGGGGGGAAGGCGAGCCCGAGGGAGGCCCCCGCCGGAGAGCCGGGGATCGCGCCAAGTTGGGCTTCCCGACCCTGAGGGGCTGCGCGCCGCGGCCCGCCAAGGCGTGGCTTCTGCTTTGTTTCAGGAGGCCAGACTTAGAGTTGGAAAAGTCACCAAAGTGTGACAACAGCTCTCGCTGCGAAGCAGTTTGCCCCGCTCGGCTGTCCCGAGGACAGCCCTGAGCATCCCCCTCATCCATTTGTTGTTCCTTCTCTCCTGAGCGCCCGCGCCGTGCCGGGCTCCCCCTGTGCTAGGCTCGGTCTGGCTCCCTTTCTCCTGGGGCACCCCATCCTCTCTACTGTGGCTGTCGGGATGAACTTTCTGCAGCGCAGCTCTCCTCCTGTCGCTCCCTAACACCTTCCTCACCATTGTCCTCAGAGTGAAAGGACACACTCCAGTCCTGCCTTCGGGCCCCTGGGAGTGGGTCCCTAGCCCTTACCTCCGCCCTACACTAGAGCTGTCCAGAAGCTGGTGCACAGGTCCCTTCCCCTAGGTTTCCTTGCCGGGCCTTCACCACCCCAACTCTCAGCCTGAAAATCCCATCCCTCTAGGCTCAGCTCCTGGGCTGGAGCCCATCTGTGATTCCCCCCGGGAGGGAGCGCCCAACCTGGTGTTTTCCTCGCTGCAGCCCTTCCTGTAGTGGGCCGGGGACAAGAGTTCAGCCATAGACCTGTTTCCCACCGGGTCCTCACCCCTGGCTGCCAGGGGCCGTGTTTATCTCAGCATTGCTTCTGCCTCACAGGAGGCTCTTAGAGAACAGCTGTTGAACAGGATTCAGAAGTCCTGCTTCATCCGGATTGTCCACTTCAGATGAGTAAGGCTAGGTCCCTTCTAGGATCTGTCCTCCAAGATCTGGACTCAGGAGATGCCAGCGCTGGGCGCAAGTGGCTTTCCCTGGCCTTGGTCCTAACCAGCCTTCCTAGGCTGTAGAGGCAGGTCTGGCTTTCAGCCCTGGCCCAGCCAATCACTGGCTGTGTGATACTGAGCAAGCCTCCTTCCCTCTGTTCCTCCCTGTCTGTACAATGAGGGTGGCCGTATGAGCCCTGGGGTTCTTCACAGTATGGAAAGGTGATATAATGGGTTGCCATTTAGTTAACAGGATGACAGATGGTGATGGAGCAAAAGTATGGCAGATGAGAGCGAGTCTTTCGAGATATCTGCTTGGGAAATCAACTCCTTTCTCTGTAGAAATTTGTGGAGAAAATCCACAAATTCCCTTAGGCTACTTTTTTTTTTTCTTTCTTTCTGAGACGTGGTCTCCTTCTGTTGCCCAGGCTGGAGTGCAGTGGTGCGATCTCGGCTCACTGCAACCTCCGCCTCCCAGGTTCAAGTCATTCTCCTGCCTCAGCCTCCTGAGTAGCTGGGATTACAGGTGTGCGCCACCACGCCCAGCTAACTTTTGTATTTTTAGTAGAGACAGGGTTTCACCGTGTTGGTCAGGCTGGTCTTGAACTCCTGACCTCATGATCTGCCTGCCTCAGCCTCCCAAAGTGCTAGGATTACAGGTGCGCCCAGCCTAGGCTACACCTTAATCAGTTGTTTCTGGCATCTTATGTAAGGCACGGTTTTCCAGAACTGCTCATATTCAGCTGTGTGCCCATTCTTCTGTCTGTTCGCCCCTTCCTCCTTCCCTCCCTTGCACTGTCTAGCAGCTCTGTATCAAGCTGTGGACCCAGTGCCGGGGCGTGCATCCACTTGGATTGTGAAAGGAATACATAAAGCTATGTAGGGGATAGACAGGCACTATCTGGCTCGAGTAAGAGGTGGAAAATGATCCAAACCACAAGACAGGTGCTGGTGAAGGGTGGTGGGAGCTCAAGGTGAGGAGACTGCTCCGCGTGGGAGCCGACGAGGGTTCCTGGAGGAGATGGTCAAATCCCAGAGGGTCTTGGGAATTTAGACTTCATCTTATGGAACCTGGGGTGCCATGGAAAGGCACTGATCTGAAAGCAGCGTAACTAGAGCGTTGCCAGGGTGTAGGGTAGATCGGATGGATGGAGAGAAGGTGGAGGGAGGATAGGGGAGACTGCCGCAGTCACAAACAGGAGATGACAGAGGCATCCAGGGCAGGGTGGAGGCTGGAGAGGAGGATGGGATGGATTTGTGAGATGGTGGCCTTGGGCAGACTTGGTGACAACTTATTGTGAAGCAGAGGGAAGGGTCAGAGGCCTGCACGATGGGATGATGGCTTCCATGCCTGGAGATGCAGGGTTGGGCAGGTTTCAGAGGAAGATTACTTCTCACTCAGGAGAGGAGGGGGCCAGTGGCAGAAAGCAGGTTAGAACTGGTTGAGTCAGAGGCCACCTCCACCCCTAACACACACACACACACCCAGGGACCTTGCAGAATTCTGACCCAGGCCTTTCTCCCTCATAGTCACGTGCATTTAATTTAACTCCCCCACCCCAACCGGAAAACCGAGAGCCCCCAGAATAGTATTAATATCTGGCTCTCCTAGGGTCCCTAAAAGAAAATGACTTTTCTGGGTGACCCCGTGCCCAGTGGTCCTTCAACTCAAGCTCAACCTTGAAGTTCCAGGCCGTCAGCCCAGGGCTGCTGTCTGTGTCTATAGGGCAGGTGGCACTCACAGGGGCTCTGTGTGCTTCTGTAAAGACCATCATAAGGAATCTGTCCCTGCCCCTTCTGGGCCTCAGTTTCCTCCTCACTGCACAGGAGCCAGTCTCTTTTTCATCTTTAACCTCAGATACACCCCAGAGCTGCTTGGCATAACAGGCGTTATTGTAAAATCATCACACAGCTGGCACAGTTGAAATTCCAGAAGACGCTTGGCCTAGTGATCGAAGACTCCCAGATCCTGCTCCCAGCTGTGGTTTCTCTGCTGGGACTTGGTGTGCAGCAAGTGTGGTGGGGAAGAGAAAGGCAATGACCTTGGGCTCAGTGGAAGCCTCCTGTCCCTAATACTGGTGACACCAATGATTAATCTTCAACTGCATGCCAGGCAAAGAGCTCAGTATTTTCTATGTTACCATATTAGTGACAGCACTGCCAGGCAGTTATTATCAACTCATTCTATAGATTTACAGAGGTTGAGTACCTTGCCCAAGCTCACACACTGACAGGTAAGCAAGCCAGTGAATTTGAACTCAGCTCTCTGACTCCCCTACTGTGTCCTGTCCTCTCTCCCACACTGACCACTTGCCCTGACACCCTGCTCCCTGCCAGCCTGAACTCTAGGCCACTGGGGACTTCCACACACCCTCTCATCAGCTCTAAGAATATTAGTGTCCCTCCATCCACCTAGCACCAGAGGAAATCAGAGCAGAGAGGCCTTTAGGGACCAACGAGCCCAGGAGTTTTCTACTGAGTGGGACCCTCAGGCCTCTGCAGGGAGAAGCTGTGTGGGCCAGGCCAACCCCAGCAGTTTCATTTTCATCTGTTGCTTTTATTGAAGGTTTCCTTCAAAGGAAGGGTTTCCCTGCTTTGAAGATATTATGAAAACCACAGATGTCATCCTTCCTTCACACACAGATGGGAAACCTGGGGCCCAGAGGGGTAGGGATGTGCCTGAGTGACAGTAGGCAGGCAGGGCTGGAAAATGGCTGCCTCCCCTTCAATTACAACCACTGTCTATGGAGAGGGACAGCCTAGGGGAGGCTGATGCTTGGGGGAAGGGGGTGCCTTGTTCCCGTAAGCAATTGAGCAACTCGTCATAGACATCATTCTTGCCATTTGGAAAAGAGGAAGCAATTCGTAAAGTGGAAAGTGTGGGAGATTTGGAGCAGGGGAGGGGGTAAAGGGAGGGGCATTCTTACACCCGGCTCTAATGTGGGCTCTGTGTGGTCTTGGACAATGCGCATGCCCCCCACCATCCAAACACCCCAGTTTCCTCATCTGTAATGAAGAGAGGAATCCTGTCCCGCCTTCGCTGTGCTGGAGTGAGAACCTCATTCATTTGTTCACTCACTCATTCACTTAGCAAATATCCAAGCTCAGAGGGACTGAAAAAGGCCATCAAACGTCAATGTAAAGGCAGGGCAGGAGGGGACCTGACCCGGAAGGAGCAGGAACAGGTTCTTCTAAAGCCAAAGCCCAAAAGGTTTCTGTCCCTGTCCGATGGTAATAATAATCATTACAGTTGGCATTTAATACCTGTTCATTATATTCCAGAACAGTTCGAAAGCATTTACATAGATTAATTCATTTAACTCTCACTGCAGCCTTGTGAGGTAGATACTGCTGTTCTCATTTTATGTATGGGGAAAGGAGGCACAGAGTGTTGAAGCAACGTGTCCAAGATCGCATGGCCAGTAAAAGGCAGTGCGGGGATTTGGCTGTTGAAATTCCCGGATCCGGCTTAAAGAGCAGGAGTTACCCAGCTGAAATTCATTCTTTTTTTTTTTTTCCTTAAACTGCCAACTTTTTATTCTTTCTTCCTGATAAACAAGCAAAACCAGCTTTGCCCCGAAGGCAGAACCGGGCTGCTTTCCAGCCTTTTGCCAAGGGGGCAGGGGGCCTGTTCACAATTCCTGCCCTGGGCCCTGACAGTCACTGGCTCTTTCATGAGGAGCCTGGAGAGGGCAGAGTGAGTCAGGCTGGGCTCAGGGAGGCCTCAGGAGAGGAGGAAGATGCTGAGGGAAGAGCCTGTCTCAGCCAAAAGTTTAAATGGTAGAGGAGGGGCATAGACCTCCTCAGAATCTTTTTTTTCTTTTTCTTTTGAGTCAAGGTCTTGCTCTGTCACGCAGGCTGGAGTGCAGTGGTGCGATCATGGCTCACTGCAGCCTCGATCTCCTGGGCTCAAGCGATCCTCCCATCTCAGTCTCCCGAGTAGCTGGGACCACAGGCGTGGGTCACCACGCATGGCTAATTTTTTTTTTTTTTGTCCTCCTCAGAATCTCTACAGAGCCTCCAGCGGTAGAGGCCTGGCCTCCAGAAGGAACTTCGAGAACCCAGTGCAGCCCCACCTAGGACACCTATACCCTCCACCCCAGCAGAGACAGCCCAGCCCCTTCCCTCAGCCCTGGGGAGCCAGGCCCAGGGCTTTTAGCAGCTCTGACCTTTATTTTAAGTCCCAAGTCTGGCCCCCTGGTAACCTGCACTCTGCAGTCCCTGATATCCCCCTGGGGTCCCTCAGCCAGGTATGCTGGAAAAGCGCTTGGCACAGAGGAGGCTCTTGAGAAGCCTTCGTTCTTCTCTTCTCTTCCTTCCTCTCCTTTGTTCACTTCAGAGATCTGAAGTCAGCTGCCACCCCTGTCTATTTTCTTCTACTGCTTTCCTCAGCTGTCCTTGAGCCTGATCCCCCTCCCAGGCCTCCTCAGTCACCCGCTGCCTCTTTCCATCATTCCCTTTGTCGCCTGTGACCCTGAGGAGGGGTGGGGGCTTAGGACAGGGCTTTGCATAGGATCTGGACTAGTTGTGGGAATTTGGGCAGGTAACTTCCCTTCTCAAGCCTCAGTTTCCTAATTCGAAAAGAAAAAACATGGGTAAGGTCATGGCAGCTCCCACAGAAGATGGCGAGAAATAAGATCATGCGTAGGCCCAGCACATGGCCAGAGCAGGAGAAAGCAGGCCCGGGATGGGTGAGCCTGCGTCTTCCTCATTCCTCAGGGTTGGCACTCTGAGGCCGTGTGGACTTTCCAGCCTCAGTTTACCCTCCTACAAAATAAGGACGTCATCCCTGCCCTTCCCCCATCGTAGGGTGGCTGGGAGGGCTCTCCCTGCCTAACTGGGAGATGGACGACTTTTCTTTGACTTTTTCTTCCTCCTCTTTATCTGTATTCTTGGGTTTTTCTCGGTGGGGGTAGGGTGTGCTTCTTGCTAGGTGTGGCAGCTACTGATAACTTTGCCTCCCTGGGGCAGGCCCTCTCAGAGGAGCCACCTGGGCTAGGACTGGCTGCCTGGTGGGAGGGGACTCCTGGGGCTGCCCAAGGTGTGGTTGTGGGGCCCTTATGCCTCCCAGCCAGGAGTGGGGAGAGAGGACTCCCCCACCACCGATTACCAGAAAGACCTCCTGGCCCCTTCCAGAGAACCCTGGCTCAGGAGCCTGGCGTTGGCGGACACAGTGCCTAGCTGCAGCTTCTGGGCATTGAGCTTTGCTTGGACACAGGAACTTTCACTTTTGTTTCTTTTTACTTCCCATATTCTGGGAGTGCAGTGACCTAGTTTTTAGCGGCCTTATATGTCCCTCTCTGCCGAGGAGACTTGAGGGCCTCCAGCACTATGGGATCCAGTGCAAACTGACTCCAGCACTCAGGCTGCCTTTAAACTGGCTTCCCCTTAGCAAGCCACCTACTCCTCTGTCTCCCCCTCCTCTTCAGAGCCCCAGGATACACGTGGTCCCTTCATCCTGGCTCTTTCTGTGCTGTTGCCTCCTCCATTCATGCTTCCTGAGCCAGGAACACCTCCTCCAGGGAGTCCTCCTTTCCTGACGCATTTGTGGTCACCACTGCACGTGCCACTCAGCCTCATGCATCTCCCGTGGTGTCCCACGAGACCCACCGTGGCCTGTCTGGGACATGGGAGCTAGAAGGGACTTTAGGATGGGCCTGGACAACCCTGCCACTCAGATGGGGACCCCCGTCACCTTTGCGGTGTCACCTATACGGGCCCTTTCCCGCACACTCACACTCGTTCTGATCAGCGTCTCCTGAGAGAAGCTTGTTTGGGAAACTCCTGCACGTCTTGGGTCAGTTGTTCATCTTGTCTCCTCTCACTCCTACCCCAGCAGGACCTTATGGGATCTCAGGATTGGAAGGGACTTGAAGGTCCTCTGACTCTCAGGCCTGAGTCCCTCCAAGAGGGACTCACCTGCCTGAATTCCTTCAGTGGTAGAGAGCTCACTACCTTGTGAGGTAGCTCCTTTTGGTCGCCAGAAAGCTTTGACTAGGAAAGATCTTTCTTAGGCTGAGCTGAAATCTGTCATCCTGCCTTTCTACCCACTGGCCCCAGCTTTCCCCTCTGGGGCCCCAGAATTCATCAGAGGCCTCCACCGTGTCTTCCAGAGGCTGATCCTCTCCAGGCTGAACATCCCCCATCCTTGTACCAATTCCTCATCAGACCCCTCTTCCAGCCTCAACACACCTCAAATCACCACTGCCTCTTGCACAAAACAGGGACCAGGCTGGGGAAGCAGCCCGTGGCCCAAGAACCCATGGGTTCCTGGAGGCCATGCTACCCAGCTGACCCTTCTTAAACTGGTCAACGAGACCCCCATCTGGGTCCCATGAGTTGCTATGGCCCCTGGCATTTCCCTGTGAGATATTCTTTAAAAGCCTCTCTGACTCCTTATCCCAAATACCACATTACCATGCTAACCCTGAAATCTTTTTGTTTATCATGGTAAAAATGCATAGCATAAAATGTATTATCTTAACCATTTTTAAGTGTACAGTTCTGTAGTGTTAAGTATATTTACATTGCTATGCAACAGAGCTCCACAACTTTTTCATGTTGCAAAACTGAAACTCTATACATGTTAAACAACACCTCTGCCTTTTCTCCTCTCCACTGTAGACCTGAAATCTTTGTTTTTCCTATTGACAAGGGCTTGGTCCGTCTGTTGGCCAGGAAGTCCCGATACTTCAGGTTGTAGCTCCGCCCTCTGCCTTAATGCCTGTCCCCATGATCAGTTTCCACCTCCATGTCTCCCCACCTCTGCCTGTCAACCAAAACCTCACAAATCCTGGGGTTCAGAGCCCCCATATCCCTGCCCTGCCCACATTACTCTGACTGGACCTCACTGGACAGCCTCACTGAGCCCAAGTTCTAGAGCTTGCGCCGCGTACTCTTTGTCTAAGCGTCTACTTCCTCCTTCTCAGAAGGCCCACGGACAGCTCCACCATGCAGGTGTGACCTGCAGTTACCTTCACCTTCTGGGTCTGTAGCTCCCGGGTCTGCAGCCCCCAAACCCCGCAAAGGCAAGCCCTGGGTCTTCTTTCCCTCACGTCTCCTCAGAAATTCCATGGGATTTGACTTGGCCCAGGAGACATGGGAGATCTGGCTATGAGAAAAGGGACTAGGACTCCCTGTTGCATCATCTCCTCAGTCTCGGGTGAAAGGCAGCAGAGTAGAAGAAAGGCACCAGTGAAGGTGAGCTGGGGCAGAGGAAGAGAGTGGCACTTCCTTTATGGTTCACACCCTTCCTGCCACTACCCACAGCCAGTCTTTGAGGGACAAGCCTGTGGCCTGATGGGACCAATTCAGCATAAGGGCCCTCTGTGGCCCTCACTCAGAACTCATCCAACTCACCCCCATTTCCAGAGAAAGGAACTCCCAGATTCCTGAGTATGGTGCTCAGTGTCTTCATCATAGCCTGGCTGGCTAGCCCCTGTTCAGATATTTCTGGGGCCTCATATTGGGAGTTGCCTCCTTCCTGATCCCATGTTAGGTTAATCTCCAAGTTCCTTTTGCACCTGTGCTTACCTGCATCTTGGCACCTATCACATGGCTAGTGTCTGTTTACAAGGCTGCCTCCCTTCCGTATGGGAGCTCTTTGAGAGCAACACATGGCTGACTTGTCTCTGGACCCTTAGCACACAATATGGGACATGGCACAGGGGAAGCACTCAGAGAGCAGATGAACAGTTAAATGGAGGATAGATGGATGGACCTTGGATGAATGGTAGATGTATGGATGAATGATGCTGGATGGATGAGTAATGTTAGATGGATGACAATGTTGCATGGATAGATGTATGGAAGATATTAGGTGGATGGGTGGGTAGATGGAGGGAGGATGTTGGATGGATGGATGGAGGATGTTGGATGGATGTATAGATGATGTTGGATGAATGGTGGATGGACAGATGAATGGAAGATGTTGGATGGATGGATGGTTCGAGGATGTTGGATGGATGGATGGATGGGGATCATTTCAGATCCAAATTGGTATGGCTTCTGTTCACTATTGATCTTGCTTGCTTTTGGCTTCACCTACTTATTCTCTCCCTAACCACAGCCTCCTTGACTTTGCCCTTTCTGAGATCATGACCTAATTGGGCATGGGCTTCACCTTTTCCCCCACTGCAGCCCTGGGCCTGCTGATCATACCACTCACCCTCCCACCAACTCCACTTTCTTTGCTACACTCTTCTCCTATTCTGCATCTTAGTCCATTTTCTGCTGCTATAAATTACACTGGGTAATTTATTAAAAAACAGTTTATTTGGCTCACGGTTCTGGAGGCTGGGAAGTCCAAGAGCATGGCATTGGCATCTGGCGAGGCCCTCATGCTGCATTATCCCATGGAAGAGCAGAAGGGCAAGTAAGCACTCAAGACGGGGAGAAGATCAGCCCAAACTCATACTTTTACCAGGAGCCCAGTCCTGTGATAATGCCCTCTAATCACCTCTTAAAGATCTCACTCCTCCGCATGGTTACATTGACAATTAAATTTTAGCATGAGTTTTGGAGGGGACGTTCAAACCAAAGCATTCTGCCCCTGGCTCCCCAAAACTCATGTCTTCCCCACTTACAAAATATATTCACTCCATCCCAATAGCCCCAAGTCTTAACTTGTTCCAGCACCAACTCAAAGTCCAAAGTCTCATCTAAATTAGATACAGGTGAGAGTCAAGGCACAATTCCCCCAGAGACATATTCCTTCCAGCTGTGAGCCTGTGAAATCAAAAGAAGTTATCTATTCCAAAATACATTGGTGGGACAGGCATAGGATAGATACTCTCATTCCAAAAGGGAGAAATAGGAAAGAAAGTAACCAGTCCCAAGTAAGTGCACAACCCAGTAGGGAAAACATTCAATCTTAAGGCTGGAGAATAATCCTCTTTGATTCCCTCTCCTGCCTCCTGGGCATGCTGAGTGGGAGTTGGACCCCAGGGCCTCAGGCAGCCCCACCCCCATGGCTTAGGGCTGTCCGGCTTCAGCTCTCGGGTGGAAGCCTCGTGCTTGCAGCCTTCCCAGGCGGGCGTTACATGCCGGTAGCTCCACAGTTCTGGGGTCTTGGGGCGGCTGCACTTCTACAGCTCCATTAGGCACCGTCCTAGTGGGGACTCTGCGGTGGCTCTGCCCCTGCAGTAGGTTTCTGTGTGGGTCCCCAGGTTGTCTGATTAGATGGCACCCACCCACGTTGAGAGTAGATCTTCCCCACTCAGACTCACACACCAGTCTCCTCTGGAAACACTCTCACAGACACACCCCAAAATAATGCTTTACCAATTCTCGAGGTATTTCTTAATTCAGTCAAGTCAGCACCTAAAACTCGCCCTCACACTCTGCTTCCCCAGGGCTGTCCTTCCCTCGTCTCTTTGTCTGTCTCTCTGTCTCCTTGGCTTCACCCACCCAGCATAGGTGCCCTCCTCCCCAGCCAGGAGGCCTCTTTCTGGACTCCCAGCTCTGGCCCATTCCAGTCCCCTCTGCTCTCCCTAGGTCCAGCCTGAGATACCCGGTCTCCTTCAGATATTTTACTTCCAAAGTCCTATTGCTGACTGTCCAGGTCCCCAAATCTGCTCTGTGTTTCTGTGCATCCTCCACTCAGCAGCCAGCAAGGTCTTTGAGAAACACATGGAGCTCACTGCCCTGCTCCCTTTCAGTGGCTTCCCATTGCCTTGGATAAAGACCCAAATGCCTAACAGGGCCCATAAGGCCCCACATGATCCACGGGCTTTAGATGTGCAGAGATGTGGAGCGCGATGCCAGGTAGGGTGAGCAGTGGCGTGGAGCAGGGCCACTTGGCTGGGGTGCCAGGTGTTGGAGGGGAGCAGCAGCCTGTCCACATGGCCTAAGGTTTGAGCTGGGTGTTGCTTTCAGCATGCCATTATACTTTTGATGAGTGTTTTCTCTGCACTGAGCCATTCTCCATTTTGCAATCATTCCAGCTTCCAAACAGTTTCATAATGAGGTCCTGAAGGCCCACAATGAGTACCGGCAGAAGCACGGCGTCCCCCCACTGAAGCTCTGCAAGAACCTCAACCGGGAGGCTCAACAGTGAGTCCCCTAGCACATCCGGGTAACTTGGCCCTTCATGTGCTGCTACTGCAGTCACAAAGGGGCCCTGTGGCCAGGCACGATGGCTCACACCTGTAATTTCAGCACTTTCAGAGGCCAAGGCGGGCGGATCACCTGAGGTCAGGAGTTCAAGACTGGCCTGGCCAATATGGTGAAACCTTGTCTCCACTAAAAATACAAAAATTAGCCATGTGTGGTGGCATGGGCCTGTAGTCCCAGCTACTCGAGAGGCTGAGGCAGGAGAATTGCTTGAACCCGGGAGGTGGAGGTTGCAGTGAACCAAGATTGCGCCACTGCACTCCAGCCTGGGTGACAGAGTGAGACAACATCTCAAAAAAAAAAAAACGTTGGGGGGCCCTGCATGGTTTTGGGGACCGGGTTTTGGGATCAGATATAACCACACTTGAATAACCACTCTCTCACTCACCTGGGCAGGTCCTTTTAGTTCCCCTGAGCCTCGACTTGTTCCTCTGTGGAATGGGACTGCTGGGAGGCTCAGAAATCATGCAAGAGTGGTGCTCCTCTGTGAGCCCGGGGCAGGGAAGGAAGCTCAGCCACACTAGCTTGGGGCACATACTTTGGGGGTTCCCTGAACTGCACCTGCTCTGAGGAGGCGCTGTGAACTCTGCAGGTATTCTGAGGCCCTGGCCAGCACGAGGATCCTCAAGCACAGCCCGGAGTCCAGCCGTGGCCAGTGTGGGGAGAACCTTGCATGGGCATCCTATGATCAGACAGGTGGGTCGCATTTTCAGCTCCTCTCCTCTCTGCGGGAGCTGGAAGAAGGACAAGTCCTCCTGAAATGCCTCCTGGCCCCAGCACCCTCGTGGTGTAGCCACAGGCCCAGGAAAGGAAAGAAAAACCAGAGCTCTCTGAATCTGCTCCCAGGCTGACTTCAGTTCACCACAAGGTCTCTGATGGCTGGCTCAGTGCCAGGCCTGTGCTGGGTGCCAGGGACACAGAGATGAGTCAGACTGACCAGGCCCCCACTTTCGGAGAAGCTCCCAGGCCGAGGAGTGGGGGTTGGGGAGACAGACCGCTTTTGTACAGAATCTCAGCCTGATTCTGTGTCCACCAGAGCATCCCCAGCTACTGAGAAATGTTATTTTCTTCCCGAGAAATTTTACTTTCTTACCGTACTGGTGATACACTACCAGTAGTGCTGGTGTATTACTTTTATAATAGGAGAAAAGCAATAGAGCTTTTTCCATTTTGGAAAAAAAAATAATAATGGAAAAGACAATGTCTCCATGCAAGGTCTCGATCTGGAATGATCCCACCATGCTGCCCAGACATTCTTGAGCTTCCTGGCCCTCTGGCCCTGACAGCCCTGATGTGGCTTTTTAGGAAGAATATTGGAGAGCTGTCTGGATCTCTGAAGCTTTCTCCAAACACCAGTGGGAGAATGACTCACTCCCTCCCCAGCCTCACATTCCTGGGAGATCCCCCAAGTCCTCTTGGTTTCCCCAGCACAGCCTAAGCCAGGGCTCCTGTGCAACGTGGTCCTTGGCACCCCCACTGGGAGGCATGTGTGAACTCCTGGGGAACCCCCTACCCACCCCTCCCTCCAAGGCCTTGCCCTCACCCTGCAGGCTCCTTCCCAAGTCCAGGCTGTGGCCCTCGATGGGCCCCGGGAGAAGGGCATAGGTTCAGGAGACATGGTCCATTCCAGCCTCGCACAGCCTCCCTCGGGAGCCTTGAGCAGGTCCCTCCCTCCTCTGCCCCCAGTTTCCCATCTCTACAGAGAGGGGGTTGGGTAGGTGGTCTCTGAGACAGTGCTTCCCTACTCTGGTCGCACATTGGAATCTTTTGTGGAGCTTTAAAAAAATACCAGGCTGGGCACAGTAGCTCACGCCTGCAATCCCAGCACTTTGGGAGGCCGAGGTGGGTGGATCACCTGAGGTCAGGAGTTTGAGACCAGAATGACCAACATGGAGAAACCCCATCTGTACTAAAAATAGAAAAATTAGCCAGGCGTGGTGGCACATGCCTGTGATCCCAGCTACTCGGGAGGCTGAGGCAGGAGAATCGCTTGAACCTGGGAGGTGGAGGTTGCCGTGAGCTGAGATCGCGCCATTGCACTGCAGCTTGGGCAACAAGAGCGAAACTCCGTCTCAGAAAACAAAACAAACCAAACAAACAAACAAAAAATGCCTGAGTCTCTCCTCCAGAGACAGACACAGTTGGTCTGAGGAAGGACCCAGGCATTAGTATTTGTTAAATGCTCTCCAGGTGAGGCTGATGTGTGGAACATGGATCAGCAGTAGCATCTGGAAGCAGAAATGCAGAATCCTAGGTCCCTCTGTAGACCTACTGAATCAGAATCTGCCCATTAACAAGATTCTTGCACACATTTGAGACTGACTGCTCTGAGGTCCCCGCTCCTGGCTCTGGCCCGGAGAGCAGCAGCTCCCAGGGAAACGCCTGCCCATATCAACACGTGTGGGGACAGTGGATGCCCCAGGTGAGGTCCCTCCTGCCCACAGTGGAGATCCGTGGCTTACCAGCCTGATTGTCTTTCCAAATATGGATGTTTCAAGAGCTGCAAATGGGGTGAGATGACAGTATAGTCTCCTAGAAACTCGGAGCATCATCAGAAGGCCCTTGCAGTACATTGCATTCAACCTTTTCATTGTACAGAGGCCCAGAGAGGGAAGGCTTTGCCCAGGATTACACAGCAAGTCAGTGTGTATGGGTTGTGGGGGATAGGTGCAGATTCCCTGACCCCAGGCCAGTGCTCTTCCCAGCCCCCCAGAAGGCCCACTCTTCAGCCTGGCCATGCTCATGGGCAGGAGTCCCTGAGTCTGCAAAGCAGCGTCCAGGATGTGTCAGCTGACTGGGGCTTTCTCAGATGTCTAATTGCCGCATTGGTGGCTTGGGGCTGATGGGAGAAAATGCAGGGAATAGGGAGTGGGTGGATTTTGTGGCTGAGTTTTAGAACAATGTCATTTCCACACAGGAAAGGAGGTGGCTGATAGATGGTACAGTGAAATCAAGAACTATAACTTCCAGCAGCCTGGCTTCACCTCGGGGACTGGTGAGTGGCAGGGTCTCACCAGTGGCCTGGCCCTGGGCAGCAATGCAGGTTGGGTGTCTGACTTCAGGGAGGAACCAGCCCTCTAAAAAAATCAATCCTTTCCTTCCTGTTTAATCTCTTCCATATTTCTCTGGCTTGACCTTGACCACAGACCAAAGCTCTCCTTTCCGCATTACATCCCCAGCTTCCCCATGCTACATGCTCTGCTCCCTCTGAGGGCCACCAGCTGGTGAATCCTGCCCCACCAGCTCAGAGCTCTTCCCATTCATGGAGTGTGTCATAGGAGACTGGATTTCCAAAGCTGCATGGAGCTTCATTCCTGAACTGGTCACCCTGTGTCTAGTCTTGTTTTCTGCAATCCATCCTGCTCTCCAGCAGCCTCAATACTTCTAAAATTGTCCCTGCCCCTGGTGCTCTCCTGATCCAACTGCCATGGCTCCCTGGGGCCATCAGGAGAAGGCTCAAGCTGCTGGCACTCCTCCTTCCACACCCCACACCCTTCCCCACCCTTGCGGCCTCCCTGGCTTTCTCCCTTCCCCTTTCTGCACTAGTTTGCAGTTCAGGAGCTTGGGGTGCAGAGAACCTGGATCTAGTCTTAGCTCTGGCACCCTTTGCTGTGTGGACTTGAGTCAATTCCTGTCCCCTCTTCCCAGGGGAGAGGGAGAAGGTGGCTTCTAAGGGATATCCTGAGAGCCGGTGACTCAAGTGCAGGGAGGAACCTTCTGTGGGTCCATGTTCCCTTCTCAAAGGCTTCCCTTGACGAAAGCTCCGGGTGGCCACCCTGTGCCCCGGGGTCCCT
Source organism: Homo sapiens (assembly GCF_000001405.40). Classification (NCBI taxonomy): domain Eukaryota; kingdom Metazoa; phylum Chordata; class Mammalia; order Primates; family Hominidae; genus Homo; species Homo sapiens. The sequence goes on from NC_000009.12 coordinate 36,151,749, forward strand.
CTGGGCAGCCGCCCTGTGCCCTGGGCTCCCCCTGCCTTTTGCTGGGCTCACCAGGCTCCTTGTCTTTCCTCAAAACCGACTCAGGCGTCTGGGGCCCAGGATGGTGTTAGAAGTGGGTGGGAGTTTCTCTGACCAGAAGGTGCCAGGAAAACAGAAAAAGGGACTCTCTGCCCACCTCGTTCCTCCTACCCCACCTGTTCCACCCACAAGTAGAGCCTTGCGGCCTTCCACCCTCTAGAGGGGTGCTCCAGAAGCAGGAAGTGACACGTTCTCAGCGCCAGTCACCGTTTCCTGTGGTTTGCTGCCCGCCCTTCTGGGTGGGGGTTTCTGCAACCATGTTGCATTGCATTGTTCCTGGGACTCTGGGGCAGAGGCAGAAGCATCTGCTGAGGCATTCCTCCTCTCCATTAACCCCTGCAGGACTCCAGGCTGGGCTGGCAGGGCTTTGAGTGTGAATAGGTGATTCTGGGGCAAGGATACCTAAGGGTGTGGGGAGGGAGCAGTAACAAGCTCCTGCTATTGATTAAGGATGTGTAGGCAGGACCTTGTCTTCTTTTAATAGAGATGGTGTCCAGAAGACTTCTTATTTCATAGCTTCTGGATTTGCTTTTCCCATGAGCAAGATTCTTCAGCAATCGGACATGTGTCCGAGCAAGTTATTAACTAGCACTCTGCGTGTGTGTGTGCGCACCACGTGGTAATTAGAAAGTGCCTCCATGGGCTGGGTGCGGTGGCTCACACCTGTAATCCTAGCACTTTGGGAGGCCGAGGTGGGTGGATCACCTGAGGTCAGGAGTTCAAGATTAGCCCGGCCAACATGGTGAAACCCCGTCTCTACTAAAAATACAAAAATTAGCTGGGCATGATGGTGCATGCCTGTAATCCCAGCTACTCGGGAGGCTGAGGCAGGAGAATCACTTGAACCCGGGAGGTGGAGGTTGCAGTGAGCCGAGATCATGCCTTTGCACTCCAGCCTGGGCAATAAGAGCAAAACTCTGTCTCAAAAAAAAAAAAAAAAAAAAAAAAAGGTGCCTCCACTGCCACGTAAGCATCAGGATACCATTTGAAAGTAGGGTTTGGCCAGGCGCAGTAGCTCATGCCTGTCATCCCAAAACTTTGGGAGGCCAAGGCAGGCGAATCACTTGAGGTCAAGAGCAAGACAGGCCTGGCCAACATGGTGAAATCCTGTCTCTACTGAAAGTGCAAAAAAAAAAAAAAAAAAAAAAAAAAAAAGCCAGGTGTGGTGACAGGTGTCTGTAATCCCAGCTACTCAGGAGGCTGAAGCAGGAGAATCACTTGAATCTGGGAGGCAGAGGTTGCCGTGAGCGGAGATCGCCCACTCCAGCCTGGGCAACAAGGGCGAGACTCTGTCTCAAAAAAAAAAAAAAAAAAAAGAAAGTAGGGCTTTATTCTACCCATTTTGAAGAGGAAGAAACTGAGGCCTAGAAAAGGGAAGCAGCCTTTCTCATGCCTTCCGTCCCTGATCTGATGCTTTTTCCAGCACTCCCACTCCAAAACAGGAATCTCACAAGAGTCAGAGCCCAACTTTCCATGATCACTGACTACTCGTTTCACTCATTGCCCTACTGTCCCCACCCCTAAAGAGGAAAATCCCAGAGCGGCCAGCCCTTGTGCTATTCCAGATACCAACAGGCAGTGCCTGGGGGCAGCCAGAGCCTGATCCTAAGACAGGAGTGAGATTTTGGGTGGTGTCATAATGGGGGCTTGCAGGACCCTTAAAGATCTTCATGCCCATCCTGCCTCAGCCTCCCCCAGACCCTGTCTGCAACTCCTCCTTGCTGCATCTCTGTTCATGGATTCCCTGACCTGAGTCCTTGTTGTAGGTGAAAGAGCCTTTGAAATACCCTTTGGCCAGGTGCGGTGGCTCACACCTGTAATCCCTGTACTTTGTGAAGCCGAGGCAGGCAGATCACTTGAGGTCAGGAGTTCAAGATCAGCCTGGCCAACATGGTGAAACCCCGTCTCTACTAAAAATACAAAAATTAGCCGGGTGTGGTGATGCGTGCCTGTAATCTCAGCTGCTCGGGATGCTAAGACACAAGAACTGCTTGAACCCTGGAGGCGGAGGTTGTGGTGAGCCAAGATCTCGCCACTGCACTCCAGCCTGGGTGACAGAGGAGTGAGACTGTCTCCAAAAAAAACAAAAACAAAAACAAAATAGGAAGAAATACCCTGTAATCCATCCCCACCCCCAGCCCCACCCAGGCCAGGCCAGCATCTTGTGATGAAGGATGCTGGTCAGTCACCGCTGTGTGCTGAGTGAAGAGAAACAATGTCTTATCATATTATATATTATATATTATATATTATATATTATATATATATATCTTTTCCCCCCCCCTTTGAGACCGAGTCTCACTCCGTTGCCCCGGCTGAGTGCAGTGGCACAATCTCGGCTCACTGCAACCTCCACCTTCCAGGTTCACGCGATTCTCCCACCTTAGCCTCCTGATGAATAATATTTTTATATGATATGAACACTGAGAGCTATCGAAGGTGAAAAGTTTTCTTTCCAGCCCTGACCCCTAGCACTTTCCTGCCCAAGAGACAACGAGAGATACCAATTTCCTGTGAATCATTCCGGAGGTGTCCTGTGCTTACACCAGCATGTGTGTATAAATGTTCTCTTTTCCCTTTTCCGCACGCTGGTGTCAGAGCGTATGACCTGTTTTATGCTTGTCAGAGATTGTGCCACAGCATACAAATAGTGCTCGCTCATTCTTTCTTACCTCTGCACATTATTCCCTTGCGAGGATATACTGTGACATATTTGGTGTGTTTTTCAAAGATATATTCTAGGGAGTTTGATTCACAGCAGGAAAGAGGATGTCATCCCTTTAGGAAAAAGAAAAAGGAACCTTCGTTAGTGGACTAGAGTTAGAAACCAGTGTGTATTTGATGGTTGCTAAGGAAGTTGTGTCATTTAATTCATCTCTGAATACCCATAGCTTAATTCCCTCTGTGCAGACAGAAACCTCCCCCGCGAGAAGAAAGATTGCTCAGCCTCATCAGCTTGGAAAAGGCTGCCACAGGCACTCGTGCTGCTCATGTGCACTTTGTGTCTAATTATTTTCTTGGCAACCAGTGGATAAATGGCAGCTTCTTCCTTTTCTGGGAGACAGAGAGTGGGAGGGTCGATGGCCCAAGCATGTGGTCTCCTGTGAGAGCAGGCTAGTGTGAGAAAGGACTTGAGCCTTTGGAAACGGCCTGTAGAAGTAGGGACACCAGGCTGCCGAGAGCCTGGAGCTGTGACCCAAACGTATTAAGAACCAAGGGCAAATAGGCAAACAGTCTTTATCCTCTATTCTGGGTGGAAACCAGAGTTTATTAAACAGCAGTTAATACAAGTTTAAAGTTAGTGGCAAATATGCATAATTGTACTTAGGGTTTGTTTTCTTTTCATTCTTGCTTCAATTGTATCATGTCAACTATATGGATTCGTTTTTATATTTGATTATTTTCATAAACAATTTAGTAACTTTCAGTCCTCTGTCAATGTAGACAAAGAAATAAATTATAGCTAAGTTTTAAAATGTTTTAAATGGCTGGGCGTGGTGGCTCATGCCTGTAATCCCAGCACTTTGGGAGGCCAAGGCGGGTGGATCACTTGAGGTCAGGAGTTCGAGACCACCCTGGCCAATATGGTGAATCCTGTCTTTACCAAAAATACAAAAATTAGCCGGATGTGGTGGCGTGCATCTGTAATCCCAGCTACTCAGGAGGCTGAGGCAGGAGAATCACTTGAACCCAGGAGGCGGAGGTTGCAGTGACATGAGATCGTGCCACTGCACTCCAGGCTGGGCAACAGAGTGAGACTGTCTCAAAAAAAAAAAGTTTTAAATGGAGTTTAACTACAGGAGAAAAAATAGAATTTAATCTACAAACATTTATTTCAGTCCTTACCATACACAGGATGCAATGGGAAGGACCGACTTTGTCTCTTCCCTAAAGAACTAGAAGAGTGTGTACACCAGTCTCTTCCTCTCTCTCCTACTTTCTTTTTTTAATTTTTTAGTAAAATAGGCTGGGTGTGGTGGCTTATTCCTGTAACTCCAGTACTTTGGGAGGCCAAGGCAAGAGGATCCCTTCATCCAGGAGCTCCAGACCAGCCTGGACAACATGGCAAGACCCCATCTCTACAAAAACAATTAAAAACTAGGCTGGGCACGGCAGCTCACACCTGTAATCCCAGCACTTTGGGAGGCTGAGGTGGGCGGATCACCTGAGGTTGGGAGTTCGAGACCAGCCTGGCCAACATGGTGAAACCTTATCTCTACTAAAAATACAAAAATTAGCCAGGCATGGTGGCGCACGCCTGTAATCCCAGCTACTTGGGAGGCTGAGGCACAACAATCGCTTGAATCTGGGAGGCGAAGGTTTCAGTAAGCCAAGATTGCACCACTGCACTCCAGCCTGGGTGACAGAGCAAGACTCCATCTCAAAAAATTAAAAAATTAAAAAATTAAAAAACTAGCTGGGTGTAGTGGCACGTGCCTGTGGTCCTGGTTACAGGAGGCTGACGTGGGAGGATTGCTTGAGTCAAGGAGTTGGAGGTTGCAGTGAACCATGATTGCACCACGGCACTCCAGCCTGGACAACAGAGTGAAGCCATGTCTAAAAAAAAAAAAAAAAAAAAAAAAAAAGAAATTGTAGTAAAGCACATATAACTGAAAATTTACCATTTTAACCATTTTAGGTATACAGTTCAGTGGGATTAAACACATTTACACTGTTATGCAATCATCGCCACCATCCATCTCTAGAATTCTTTTCATCTTCACAGATTAAAACTCAGTACCCCTTAGACCAGGGGACCCCAACTCCTGGGCAGTGGACCTGTATGGGCCCATGGCCTGTTAAGAACTGGGCCGCACAGCAGGAGGTGAGCCTGGGTGAGTAAGATTACTGCCTGAGCTCCGCCTCCTGTCAGATCAGCAGTGGCGTTAGATTCTCATAGGAGCATGAACCCTATTATGAATTCCTCACGCAAGGGATCTAGGTTGCATGCTCCTTATGAAAATCTAATGCCTGATGATCTGAGGTGGAACAGTTTCATCCTGAAACCATCTCCACCCCACCCCAACCATTGTTCTACTTTTGGTTTTAACTATTCTAGCTACCTCATATAAATGGAATCATACAATATTTGCCCATTTGTGTCTGGCTTATTTCACTTAGCATCATGTTTTCAAGGTTTACCCTTATTAGAGCACGTGTCAGAATTCCTTTTTATTTTAATTTATTTTATTTTATTATATTTTATTTGAGACGGAGTCTCACACTGTTGCCCGGGCTGGAGTGCAATGGCGTGATCTTGGCTCACTGTAACCTCTGCCTCCCGAGTTCAAGCGATTCTCCTGCCTCAGCCTCCTGAGTAGCTGGGATTATAGGCACCCGCCATCATGCCCAGCTAATTTTTTTTTTTTTTTTTTGTATTTTTAGTAGAGATGGGGTTTCACTATGTTGGCCAGGCTGGTCTCGAACTCCTGACCTCTTGATCTGCCCACCTTGGCCTCTCAAAGTGCTGAGAATACAGGCATGATCCACCACACCCAGTCTCTTTTTTATTTTTATTTTTTTATTTTTTATTTTTTTGAGATGGAGTCTCATTCTGTCGCCCAGGCTGGAGTGCAGTGGTGTAGTCTTGGCTCACTGCAACCTCTGCCTCCCAGGTTCAAGCGACTCTCCTGCCTCAGCCTCCCAAGTAGCTGGGGTTACAGGCACCCACCACCATGACCAGCTAATTTTTATATTTTTAGTAGAGACGGGGTTTCACCACATTGGCCCGGCTAGTCTCAAACTCCTGACCCCAGGTGATCCACCCGCCTTAGCTTCCCAAAGTGCTAGGATTACAGGCATGAGCCACTACGCCCGGCCTCAGAATTTCTTTTTAAAGCTGAATAATATCTGTTAAACACACACACACACACACACACACACACACATATATATATACACATATATACATATATATCTCCCACATTTTGCTTATCCTTTCACTTGTTGATGGACACTTGGGCTGTGTGTCTTTGTGGGTTTTTTTTTTGTTTTTTGTTTTTTCGAGATGGAGTCTCACTCTGTTACCCAGGCTGGAGTGCAATGGCACAGTCTCGGCTCATTGCAACCTCTGCCTCCCAGGTTCAAGCAATTCTCTTTCCTCAGCCTCCCCAGTAGCTAGGATTACAGGCGTGTGCCACCACACCTGGCTAATTTTTCTATTTTTAGTAGAGACGGGGTTTCATCACATTGGCCAGGGTGGTCTTGAACTCCTGACCTCAAGTGATCCGCCCACCTCAACCTCCCAAAGTGCTGGGATTACAGGCGTGAGCCACTGCGCCCGACCGGGCTATGTGACTTTGGGCCAATCTTTCAACCTCTCTGCTAGGAGCATGGGCGTATAAATATCTGAATCCCTGCTTTCAGTACTTTTGGGTATATACCTAGAAGTGGAATTGCTGAGTCATTGCAATTCTGTTTAATTTTTTGAGGAACTGCCATACTGTCTTCCAGAGCAGCTGTGCCATTTTACATTCCCATCAGCAGTGCACAGAAGTTCCAATTTCTCCACTTCCTTGCCAAAACTTGTTATGTTCTATTATTTTTGTTTCTGTTTTTCATAGTAACCATCCTGCTGAGTGTGAAGTGGTTGCCCTTTTTTCTTTCTTAACCACCCTATGGGAATCTTAGATACTCTGATCATGACTTTCCTCCTCCCTCCCTCCGTTTCTTCCTTTCCTCATCAAATGTTTATTGAGCATCTACTATGTGCCAGGCCCAGTGCTAAACACTAGGTATATGGTGATCAATAAAACAGATGTGGCACGTGCCCTCACATAGCTTGCCCAATCATAAGCCAGATATTTAGGAGGGAACAATCTCTTCAGTGTTGCTTTAGCAAATGAATGCCATCCTGTGACACAGAAAATAAATGTCTCATTGATCTCTGTAAATGCTAAACCATAAAGATGGAAGGGATGAACATCTGCCTCTACTCCCCAAGAAATAAGAATTTAGGCCAGGCATGGTGGCTCACGCCCGTAATCCCAACACTTTGGGAGGCTGAGGCAGGCAGATCACTTGAGGTCAGGAGTTTGAGACCAGCCTGGCCAACATGGTGAAACCCCATCTCTACTAAAGATACAAAAATTAGCTGGGCGTGATGGTGCTCACCTGTAGTCCCAGCTACTCAGGAGGCTGAGGCATGAGAATCACTTGAACACAGGAGGCAGAGGTTGCAGTGAGCTACGATCGCGCCACTGCACTCCAGCCTAGACAACAGAGAGAGACTCTGTCTCAAAAAAAAAAGAATTTATGATCGTTGAGCAAAGAATGCATTACAGCATCAACTCTTTGACTCCCAAATGGGAGGAGATTTGGAAGCTAAGCTATATTCGTAGCTTGAAAGGACAAGCGAGTGAAGGACAGGAAGCCTGAGAAATGGGAGACTGATGCTAAGAGGCCTCAGCAAGACCTAGTGGTGTCTGGAGGGTGGAGCAGTAGCTTGAAAAGGAACTGAGATGTTTGGCTCAGAGCAGAAGGATTTGAACGAGGCTGTAATGTGTCGAAGTCTCAAAAAGCTCAAAACATAGAATGCTGCACTTCTAGTGAAGGCAGAACTGGAGTCCAAGATGGATCTTCTATATTACTTTTATTCATCAGTTCCACTCATTCTTTCAAACATTTATTTTACACTTTTCATGTGCCAGGCTATGCCAAGGTACTGGGTGCATTTTGGTGATTAAAACAAACTTGGCCTCTGCCCATATGGACACATAGCCTGGTGAAGGAGCCAAACAGTAACCAAGTAATCAAGCAAATGCATCACACAAATGGGAAGAATGGTACATAGGGGAAAAAATGGTGTGGTAAGAATATCTTGGGAGGGAGATGGTCGGTAAATAAAAGGGTGTTTACAGGCTGGGCATGGTGGCTCACACCTGTAATCCCAATACTTGGCTGGGCCAAGGCGAGTGAATCACCTGAGGTCAGGAGTTCAAGACCAGCCTGACCAGTATGGTGAAACCCATCTCTACTAAAAATACAACAATTAGCCGGGCATAGTGGCGTGCACCTGTAATCCCAGCTACTTGGAAGGCTGAGGCAGGAGAATTGCTTGAACATGGGAGGTGGAGGCTGCAGTGAGCCGAGATCACGCTACTGTACTCCAGTCTGGGCAACGGTGAGACTCCGTCTCAAAAATAAATAAATAAATAAAAGGGTGTTTGCAAACGACTTCTTTGAACAAATGATATTTAGGCTAAGACCAAGGGACAAGAAGCTGTTGGTCATCAGAAGGGTGTCTTGGCCAGGCATGGTGGATCATACCTGTAATCTCAGCACTTTGGGAAACCGAGGCAATTCTCCTGCCTCAGCCTTCCCGATTAGCTGGGATTACAGGCATGCACCACCATGCCCGGCTAATTTTGTATTTTTAGTAGAGATGGGGTTTCTCCATGTTGGTCAGGCTGGTCTCCAACTCCCAACCTAAGATGATCCGCCCACCTCGGCCTCTCGAAGTGCTGGCATTGCAGGCGTGAGTCACGGCGCCCGGCCTTACAAATACTTTTTGAAAAATGATTCGGCAGTGGCGGCATGTGCCTGTGGTCCCAGCTACTCAGGAAGCTGAGGTGGGAGGGTCTCCTGAGCCCTGGAGGTGGAAGCTGAAGTAAGCTATGATCATGCCACTGAACTCCATCCAGCCTAGGTGACAGAGATCCTGTCAGAAAGAAGGGAAGAGAAGAGAAAAAGAGAAGAGGAAGGGAAGGAGGGAGAGAAGAAAAAAGAGAAGAAGAAAGAAGGAAAACAGAAGAAAAAAAATGTGCAAGGGTTCTGAGGTGGGACATACTCTGGTGTGTTCAAGGAATGGAGAGGAGGCCACTGCACCAAAGGATTCACTTTCATTCTAAGTGCATTGGGGAGCGAGTGAAGGATTGTTAAGCAGGGAAGTAAATAGATATGATTTATATCTCAGAATGGTCACTCTGAATACTAAGTAGAAAATGAGGCTCACGCCTGTAATCTCAGCAGTTTGGGAGGCCGAGGTGGGCAGAGCACCTGAGGTCAGGAGTTCAACACCAGCCTGGACAACATGGTGAAACCTTGTCTCTACTAAAAATACAAAAAAATAGCTGGGCATGGTGGCACACACCTGTAGTCCCAGCTACTTGGGAGGCTGAGGTGGGAGGATCACTTAAACCAAGGAGGTGGAGGTTGCAGTGAGCTGAGATCATGACACTGCACTCCAGCCTGGGTGACAGGGTGAGACTCGTCTCAAAAAAAAAAGAAAAGAAAAAGAAAATGATTTTGAGGGGCCAAGGTGGATGCCATAGAACCAGTCAGGAGGCTATTGCAATGGTCCATGTGAGAAAAGTTTGCAATTGGGACCAAGGGTTTGGGAGTGGGTGGACCTGAGATGCATTTTAGAGTTGGATTCTTCAAGACTGAATACTAGGTTGTTGTGGGGAAAAGGAAGAAGAGGAGGGATGCAGACTCCCCCTGGCAGTGTGCACATGGAGGTACCATTGATGGAGATGGGAGGACTGGGAGAGGAATAAATCTAGGGGGACAAAAACTGGGAGTGAGGTTTGGAAAGGTTAAATCTGAGATGCCTGTGAGTCATCCATGTGGAAATGTCCAGTAATTAGTTATGTCTGGAACACAGAGCAGTGATTTGAGCTGGAGAAATAAATTTGGGAGCCAGGGAAAGATGAAATTCCCTAAAGAGAGCTTAGAGGAAAAAAAAAAAAGGGCCCAGGATTGAGCCCTGGGAAGTGTGGGTCCTTCAATATCTATAAGTGAGGGCGAGGAGGCGGAAGAGGAGGCAGTGAGACAGGAGGAATGGCAAGAGACTGTGGCATCCTAGAAACCAAAAGGGGGAGGGGTGCCTTGAAAAGGAGAAGAGTAGGAAGTGTTCCTCAGGTGTCAAGTAAGATGAAGACAAAAGGGGATCACTGGAGAGCTTCAAGATTACAGCTTGGGGACAGGGTTAGACACAGGCAGTAGGCAGTAGAGTGGCATCCTAATTGTTGGGGCCACTGGGCTTTGTCGTGATCTCTGGGAGACTGTTGGAAGGTGGTGAGGTGGGTAAGGTCTGTGTGGCTGATAGAAAGGACCTGCTTTAGAATTCAGGCAGTCTGGCCAGGCACAGTGGCTCACACCTGTAATCCCAGCACTGGGAGACTGAGGCAGGTGGATCGCCTGAGGTCAGGAGTTCGAGACCATGGTGAAACCTCATCTCTACTAAAAATACAAAAAAATTAGCTGGGCGTGGTGGCATGCACCTGTAGTCCCAGCTACTTGGGAGGCTGAGGCAGGAGAATCACTCGAACCCAGGAGGTGGAGGTTGCAGTGAGCCAAGATCATGCCACTGCACTCCAGCCTGGGTTACAGAGCGAGACTCCATCTTGGGGGAAAAAAAAAGAAGTCAGGCAGTCAGAGTGTTTTCTCTCTCCTTCCCCTGCAGGGGGTCTGTGAAGACCATGCTGACCTGAGCCTGGCAAGATGGTACAGGGGTTCAACAATCCCCTGCCACATCCTTCTTCAGGCTCTGCTAATTCAGCCGTGTCCCTCTCCCTCTGCCCGTTCCCCTACAGGACACTTCACGGCCATGGTATGGAAGAACACCAAGAAGATGGGCGTGGGGAAGGCGTCCGCAAGTGACGGGTCCTCCTTTGTGGTGGCCAGATACTTCCCAGCGGGGAATGTTGTCAATGAGGGCTTCTTCGAAGAAAACGTCCTGCCGCCGAAGAAGTAACTTGTTAAATGTAATGGGAAGGTGGCAGACTTAAGAACGTGGATATGAAGTGCCTAGAACCACCACAACCTGGCTGTGCGTCTGTCCCTGTGGGTGTATGTGCTTGTGTGTGTGATGCATGTGAGCGTCTCTGGCACACACACTTGGACATACAGTTCTGTGTGCGCTCATTCTTATTACAGGAGTGAGCAAAGGAAGCATTTACCCCGATGGTTACCTAGACCACGATTATTTGGATTGGGGGGAGGGGGGATCCGTTTTTTTTTTTTAATTTTTTGTTATTTCTAAGCAAACCTCTTTTGTACTTTTCTTACTTCTAATATCCATCCCTGGACTTTTTGTATTCCAAATGTTTGTGATGCTGAGAAGTGAAGTTCATTTTATGTGATCTTCATGCGTCGTAATCTACTTTTGGTAGATAATTAAGATTATTAAACCCTCATTTAAATGTGACATAAAATACAGCTTTAAGCACATAAATACAAAGCAGCTTCCATCAGGAACATGGAGCAGGCAGGGACTCCATTTTACAGAATTACTGAGATTTCTCAGTTGTAAAACATGATGTCATCCTGCATGCCTCCTGGAATTCTCCAATGGGGTCGCCAAACAACAAATGGAGAAAAAAAGTTTTACTTCCTTGCATTCTTCTACCTTTAAATAGCAAAGTACCACTACCACCACCACCTCTTGCCCCCTTCCCTCTTTTCTTAAACTTCTGGCATTTCAGAGCTCAGCAGGCTACCCCTGGTTTCTGGAGAGTTGGGCTAGGCCTGAAGCTCCCCCTCCCCCACCTCTGCTAGGCAGCCCAGGCCTGGTCTGGGAGACAGCCCCTCACCCTGCCTGGGCTCTTGGCCAAGCGGCCTTGGATGGATGAAGTCAGAGAGGTGGGGTGAGGGTGAGCTTACTCAGGGCCCCCAGAGGAAGCCCTCAGCCTCTGCCCTCCCCCCACACAGGGCGGGAGCCCAGGCCTGTTCCTGGCAGCTGTGGCTGCAGCTGTGCTCCTGCTCCCTCCTGGAATGTGCGACAAGCCCAAATGTTCCGGGGAGGCGGCCGGGGCAGGGGGCTTAGAAGTGCTAATATGGTTCTGTGTTTTGCCTGAAACGATACCAGGTTCCCCTGAATAGCAACTTTACAAGGTCCATGTGGGAGGGACCAACCCAGATGCCCTGCTGAGTGTCCCTGAAACCATGGCAGCTCCATCTGTCAAGATGGCAGGGGCCGGAGTGAGGGGGCTGCTGGCTTAACAGCAGGCATCTGGGCAGGCCAGTCCTCAAAGCAGCTCCTGAAGGTCTGTGTTGCACTGTCACCAGTCTCAAGCTATGCCTCTAATTTCACCAGGGATATTGACTAAGAAGACAATAAAATCTTTTTCTTTGTGTAATAACCTCCTCCAATGTGATTCATACTTCATTCTCCATGGCTGAGACAATCCGTGACTCTGAATCCCTCTCTCGATTAACCCCAGAATACCTGCAACCCATTCCCCGTGGACTGTGTTGCTTAAGTGGCCAAGTTTTAAGCCATCTGACCCACCAGCACAGAGCTGATTGGACTAGAGTGGACACTGGATCCAACGGCAGCCAATCACCAGGCTGGCCATGGACTGGGAATTTCAGCTAAGAATTATGGAGAGAATTTACCAGTGGAACTGAAAAAAATAAGGATGCCATAAATTGGAATTAGGGCCATGGCAAACCAAAGCTACTTGCAAGCCAAGTTATGAATAGGAAATACACAGAAGCGAAGAAGCCAGTTATTGGAGGTACAAAAGAGGAGGAGATGCTGAGAATATTCTTGAATGTTCCTGAGTTTTCTAGCTCCAGCCCAAATCTGTATATCTTTAAAATATGCCCCTCATTTTCCTCAGGGCTTCCAAACAAACTGATATACCAGCCGATAGTCCCCAAAGATTAGAATCATACCATCTCTTCCTAACGGGAGACACCATGAACAGAAAATGTGGCGCCTGGTAGGAAGCTGACGGTGGGTGAAAAGACCCTGCTGAGATCCTTTTCTGGCCCCACCTGGCAAGCTGCCAGCCAATGAACTTCTTGGTGGCTCCTCGGGTCACCCCCCCCACCCCCATACACACACACACACACACACACACAACCAGGTGGTGGAAGCCAGCATGCAGCCAGCCTCTATGGGCTGGAGTTTGTTTCCACAGTTGGCTGGATTGAGGAAAAAGCTGGACCGGGGAGCTTTCCTGGGCTAAAGAAATGCCAGACAGCAAAGCTGGCTGAGCAGGTGGGCACTAATCTCACTTTTAAGGATTTCTTGAAGATGGCAAGCCTCACAATCCAAAAAGAACAAGGACAAACCAAACCGCGGCTCTCCTTTGTAGCCAGAGGGCAGAGGAAGAAGACAGCTCTCTGGTGCAAGCCTCTTCCTCTCCCTGGGCTTCAATTTATCCACCTGTACGAGGTCTGTCACATGGAGTTAGGTCTATCAGTTCTCTCAGGTCCCCATGACACCTCCAGACCCAACTTAATGCTGGAAGTGTCTGATGAGAGAGCTCATTCCTGCCTTGGTGCTCTGGGAGCTGAAACAAAAACAAACAGGCATGGCCACCTCCTCCACTGAAATGCTCCCAAGGCTGAAGCTTGCAGGTGGGAGGGCAGGGGAGAGGACAAAGGAGGTGTGAAGCAGCAGGGCCTGACCCACCCACCCCCTGCTCCCGGGTGAAGATGTCCCAGGAGGCGAGATCTGCCAGCCTGCATGTCCATGGGAGCCAGAAGGTGTCTGGCATCAGCACCAAGAGGCCTCATCATTCACCCAAGTTGCTGCTGCTGCTTTGCAGAAGGTAAGGGCTGAAGAGGCATTAAGGGCTTAATTATTCTCCCAGGGAGACTGGTCTCCGGAGGAGGAGGCTGAAATTGAAGTCTACTTCCAATGGGGAAAACAGAAGTTCTTCACTTTGTGCACGTATCATATCCCAAGAGACCGAGTCTCTCTATCGCATTCGGGCGGGAAGGTGGACAAATTCAGTTTAAAAGGGTATTTTTGGCCAGGTGCGGTGGCTAACGCCTGTAATCCCATACATTAGGAGGCCAAGGTGGGTGGATCACGAGGTCAGGAGTTCAAGACCAGCCTGGCCAAGACGGTGAAACCCCGTCTCTACTAAAAATACAAAAGTTAGCCGGGCGTGGCTGCGCGCGCCTGTAATCCCAGCTACTTGGGAGGCTGAGGCAAGAAATTACTTGAACCCGGGAGGCGGAGGTTGCAGTGAGCCGAGATCGGGCCACTGCACTCCAGCCTGGGGGACAGAGTGAGACTCCATCTCAGAAAAAAAAAAAAAAAAAAGGGAAGGGGCGTATTTTCAAATAATTTTCAAGTTACCAAATCTAAAAATAAGGAAAAGACTAGTCTGGAATGAACGGACGAGGGAGGGAGACAATGAGAATGAGAATATGACTAAGCCAGGGAGGGAAAGAGCTGGAACGGCTCAGATTCCCGAGGCTGATACTGAAATTTCCCGGGAGGGGCACTGAGGACGGCCCGAGGGTCTAGAGTGGGGCTTGGGCCCAGATTGGAGGAGATCAGAGAGGTAAGTCCTTTCTGTACCTTCTCGCGAATGCCTGGGCGAGATGCAAGTCCAGGCCCTTCTCTGGGGTCTCTTCCCAAAGGCTGGTCCGGGTGGGGCTACTGGGCTCTTTTGCCTCCCCCTCCCTCCCGCCCGCGGCGCTCCAGCTGGCGCTTATCCCCTTCTTGCACGAACAGCAGTTCCACAGACGCCCCACAGGACTCCGGGAGCCCCACGCCAGCCAGGAATCTGTCCGAGTCTGCGGGCACCCTCCTCTCTCCCCGCAAAGGACTCGCAGGGGTCAGGAAACCCCCCCAGCTGTTACTGGGAGTCGGAGACAGTCTTCTGGCCTCTGGAGGGCGCGCCTCCGTTGGGGGCTCAGCGTCCCCATCTGTAAAGTGGGGACAGGTGTGTGTCTGGGGAAATCTAAGGAGTCCTGCAAGGCTGAGAGCCCCCGATCCTGCCGTTTGAATTCCAGGGTCGCGGCGGACGGCACGGCGCTGCCGCCTTTGCACGGTGGCGCGTGGAGGCAAAGCGAAAAAGGGGACGCCCCGCGCCTCTTTTCCATCCTGGAGAGGGGTTGGGGTGGTGCCCGGCGCAGAGGCGGTGCGCTCGGGGGCGGGGACGACCCTCCAGCGCCACCGCGTGGCTGGACTGGGTTCGGGCGGCGGGCCCAGAAGAGACGCGAGGTAGCCACAGCCTCCTCAGCTACCGCGAAACCAGAACCACGATGACCACAAGTTTTTATGAAGGGAGCAGCCACGAACGCCGGCGCTGGGCGAACTGGTGTAATATGAGTAAGAAAACGGCAGCTAGCATTGATTGAGCTTTATGACAAGCCCACTACTCTCCAGTCCTTTTCTCATTTAAACTCTAATAATAGGCCGGGCACGGTGGTTCACGCCTATAATCCCAACCCTTTGAGAGGCCGAGGCGGGCGGATCACCTGAGGTCAGGGGTTCGAGACCAGCTTGGCCAACATGGTGAAACCTCGTCTCTACTAAAAATACAAAACTTTGCCGGGCATGTTGACAGGCGCCTGTAATCCCAGCTACTGGGGGTGGGGGGTGAGGGGGGTTGGGGGGTTGGGTAATAAAAGACAGGGGAATTGCAACAGAGAAAGAGTAATTCACACAGAGCCAGCCGTGCGGGAGACTGGAGGGTTTTGTTTTTGTTTTTTGGGGTTTTTTTTTTTGAGACGGAGTCTCACTCTGTCGCCCAGGCTGGAGTGCAATGGTGCGATCTGGGCACGCTGCAACCTCCGCCTCCCGGGTTCGAGCGATTCTGCTGCCTCAGTCTCCCCAGTAGCTGGGATTACAGGCATTACAGGCATGCACCACCACTCCCAACTAATTTTTGTATTTTTAGTAGAGACAGGGTTTTGCCATGTTGGCCAGGCTGGTCTCGAAACCATGACCTCAGGTGATCCGCCCACCTTGGCATCCCAAAGTGCTAGGATTACAAGCATGAGGCACCGCGCCCGGCCTGGAGTTTTATTATTACTCAAATCAGTCTCCCGGAGCATTGGGGGAGCAGAGTTTTTAAAGATAACTTGGTGGGTAGGGGGAAGCCAGTGAGCCAGGAGTGCTGCTGATTGGTCAGAGATGAAATCATGGGAGTTGGAGCTGTCTTCTTGGGCTGAGTCAGTTCTTGGGTCTGGGGGCCACAAGATCAGATGAGCCAGTTTATTGATCTGAGTGGTGCCAGCTGATCCATCAAGTGCAGGTTCTGCAAAATATCTCAAGCACCGGCCGGGCACGGGGGCTCACGCCTGTAATCCCAGCACTTTGGAAGGCTGAGGCAGGTGGATCACCTGAGGTCGGGAGTTTGAGACCAGCCTGACCAACATAGAGAAACCCCATCTCTACTAAAAATACAGAATTAGCCGGGTGTGGTGGTGCATGCCTGTAATCCCAGCTACTCAGGAGGCTGAGGCAGGAGAAACGCTTGAACCCGGGAGTTGGAGGTTGTGGTGAGCCGAGAACGCACCATTGCACTCCGGCCTGGGCAAGAAGAGCGAAACTGTCTAAAAAAAAAAAAAAAGAGAAATCTCAAGCACTGGTCTTAGGAGCAGTTTAGGGAGGGTTAGAATCTTGTAGCCTCCAGCTACATGACTCCTAAACCATAATTTCTAATCTTGTGGCTAATGTTAGTCCTACAAAGGCAATCTAGTCCCCAGGCAAGAAGGAGGTCTGCTTTGGGAAAGGGCTGTCTTTGTTTAAACCGTAAACTATACATATAGGTTTCTCCCAAAGTTAGTTCAGCCTTTGCCAAGGAATGAGCAAGGACAGCTTGGAGGTTAGAAGCAAGATGGAGTCAGTTAAGTTGATCTCTTTCACTGTCTCAGTCATAATTTTGCAAAGGCTGTTTCAAGCTGAGATCGCACCACTGCACTCCAACCTGGGTGACAGAGCGAGACTCTGTCTCAAAAAAATAAAAATAAAAATAAAAATAAACTCATAATAATCTTTGAAGTGGGTACTACTATCAAATATTAGTTCCATCTCACAGAGGAGGAAACTGAGGTTTAGAAAGTCTGATCAACTCGCCCAAGTCCACCTTTGATGGAGAAAGCTGACCCACTGAAGCCCCCAACATTTTCCAACTGGACACTTGGAAATGTTGGGGGAACATTCTAGTTTGCCAAGGAGCTGAAATCATCCGGTCTTTAAAGACCCTCCCATGCCCCCGTTTGTGGTTAACTCCTTCATCCCTGCTCCAGGGAGTGGCCTCCACCTCTCCATTTTGAAGGAGAATGATGTCTGTGGCCACCAAGGTCAGAAGCCAAAGGACAGAGCTTTTCTCTGATGCCCAGGAGCCTTGGCAGGAAGAGTGCTTGGAGAGTTGAGAGTCAGAGACTGGGGAAAGCTGGGTAGTCAGGAGCTTCCAGAAGGGTAGGAAGAATGCGAGGTTCCCCAGGTTCTGGGCCCTGCTCGGCTTCCAACTGGCTATGTGATTTTGGGCAAGTGCCTTCTCTTCTCTGGGCCTCAGTTTCCCTCAAAATGGGAGGATTCTTCTAGGTCTAATAATCTCTTCCCTTTCCCCACCTCCCCTTATCTCTCCTACACAAACTGCTCCCCACTGCCCCACCCAGACTGGCTCTGATATTCCAGAAGCCTTTAACTACGGTTTGAAAGTCCCAGGTGGAAGTTGCCGCCCATCCCTGAGGTTCCTCCTGAGCTCTGGGCCCAGGGCTTTAGGTCCTGCTAGGGTATGTGGCCTTGGCAGGTTGGAGAGATCAGAGGGGAGGAAGGCCCAGTGCCTCTGAGACAGGCCTCAGGGAGGCCTGCATTGTGATGACCTGATCCACTCTATGACATCATCCTCTCTTCCACCCTCTCTTCTCCCTGGTCAACCGCTCTGCAAACAACCATCAATCTGATCCCACAGGCCTGAGAAAGTCTGCTCTCCAGTACCTGCTGCTGATCTGTTTCAGCCGACAAGAGGCACCATGAAATTGGAATTCACGGAGAAAAACTACAATAGCTTCGTGCTGCAGAACCTGAACAGACAGAGGAAACGCAAAGAGTACTGGGACATGGCCCTGAGTGTGGACAACCACGTCTTCTTTGCACATCGCAATGTGCTGGCTGCTGTCTCCCCACTGGTGAGGAGCCTCATCTCCAGCAATGACATGAAGACCGCTGATGAGCTTTTCATCACCATTGACACCAGTTACCTGAGCCCGGTCACAGTGGACCAGCTTCTGGACTACTTCTATAGCGGCAAGGTGGTGATCTCCGAGCAAAATGTGGAGGAGCTGCTTCGTGGGGCTCAGTATTTCAACACACCACGCCTTCGAGTTCACTGTAACGACTTCCTTATTAAGTCCATCTGCCGTGCCAACTGCTTGCGCTACCTCTTCTTGGCTGAGCTGTTTGAGCTCAAAGAGGTATCAGACGTAGCTTACTCTGGCATTCGGGACAACTTCCACTACTGGGCCAGTCCTGAGGGCTCCATGCACTTCATGCGCTGTCCACCTGTTATCTTTGGCCGCCTGCTCCGTGATGAAAACCTTCACGTGCTCAATGAAGACCAGGCGCTCAGCGCACTCATCAATTGGGTGTACTTCCGGAAGGAGGATCGGGAGAAGTATTTCAAGAAGTTCTTCAATTACATCAATCTCAATGCTGTCTCCAATAAGACGCTGGTGTTTGCCAGCAACAAGCTGGTGGGCATGGAGAACACCTCATCCCATACAACCCTGATTGAGAGTGTCCTGATGGACCGCAAGCAGGAGCGGCCATGCAGCCTGCTGGTCTACCAGCGGAAAGGGGCCCTGCTTGATTCCGTGGTCATCCTCGGTGGCCAGAAGGCCCACGGCCAGTTCAATGATGGAGTGTTTGCTTATATCATCCAGGAGAACCTGTGGATGAAGCTCTCAGACATGCCCTATCGGGCAGCAGCACTTAGTGCCACCTCTGCTGGTCGCTACATCTACATCTCTGGTGGCACCACTGAGCAGATTTCAGGGCTGAAGACAGCCTGGCGGTATGACATGGATGACAACTCCTGGACCAAGTTGCCTGACCTGCCCATCGGGCTTGTCTTCCACACCATGGTGACCTGTGGGGGGACAGTGTACTCAGTGGGCGGGAGCATTGCCCCAAGGCGGTATGTCTCCAACATCTATCGCTATGATGAGCGGAAGGAAGTCTGGTGCCTGGCAGGAAAGATGAGCATCCCCATGGATGGCACCGCCGTGATCACTAAAGGAGACAGGCATCTGTACATTGTCACTGGACGGTGCTTGGTGAAAGGTTATATCTCCCGGGTCGGGGTAGTGGACTGCTTTGACACCAGCACTGGGGACGTGGTCCAGTGTATCACCTTCCCCATTGAGTTCAACCATCGGCCCCTGCTCTCTTTCCAACAGGACAACATCCTCTGCGTGCACAGCCACCGGCAGAGTGTGGAAATCAATCTGCAGAAGGTGAAGGCAAGCAAGACGACCACCTCAGTGCCTGTCTTGCCCAACAGCTGCCCCTTGGATGTGTCCCATGCTATATGCTCCATTGGAGACAGCAAGGTGTTTGTATGTGGGGGTGTCACCACTGCCAGCGATGTCCAGACAAAGGACTACACCATCAATCCAAATGCCTTCTTGCTGGACCAAAAGACAGGCAAGTGGAAGACCCTGGCTCCTCCACCAGAGGCACTGGACTGTCCTGCCTGCTGTCTAGCCAAGCTACCTTGCAAGATTCTTCAAAGGATTTAAACATTTTAAGTGGGAGAATAAGTAAATGCATTATTATTCACGATTTAATGAGAGAAAGAGAGGAAGATGGCCTGTTGTTTCCTTCTTAGTGTTCCAGTCCATGCTTGGCCCTGAAGGTGGAGATCCTAGGGGAGGGCTGCTCCCAGTGGGTGGAAACTCAGGGCCACTATGTCATTGGAGGTATCCAACAGGGCCTGGAAAGGAACCCCTGGTGGGTGGAATTGAGGCCCCTCCCAGGCACTGGCCAAGGCGATGTCTGTCCCCTATTCTGTACCCCTGTGATCACCTCTCAGGCATCTGCTAGATTGGCAGGTAAACATCCACTCAGAGCTGTGAAGCATCAAGCTCCTCCAGCACCTGCTTCCCTCCGGTCTTTCACAAAAGCAGGGGAGGACCCGTCCCAGGTCTGAGAGAGGAATCTCATGGCCAGGAAGGAGAAGGTGACCTGGGTAAGACTCAGAAAAGAAGGCAGAAGGAACAGGGGAGGCAAGGTTACTTAGCTTCTGTATTTGCCCATGCAGCTACGGTAGTTTGTGTCTCATTTGTGGGAAAGCTGGAGGTTCCTTACAATTGTTTCTACTAAGCCAAGTACATTGAGAACTTTCTCCAGGAATATGAGTCTGAGGGACTGGGGATAAAAGAGAGGCCAGTAAAGGGAAAAGAAAGAAACATATCCTGGTCGGGCACAGTGGCCCATGCCTGTAATCCCAACACTTCGGAAGGCTGAGGCAGAAGGATCACCTGAGCCCAGGAGTTTGAGACCAGCCTAAGCAATAAAGTGAGATCCCGTTTCTAGTATAAAAAAAAATAATAAGGCCGGGGGTGGTTGCTCACGCCTGTAATCCCAGCACTTTGGGAGGCCAAGGCAGGTGGATCACCCGAGGTCAGGAGTTTGAGACCAGCCAGCCTGACCAACATGGTGAAACCCTGTCTCTACTAAAAATACAAAATTAGCGAGGCGTGGTGGCACATGCCTGTAATCCCAGCTACTCGGGAGGCTGAGGCAGGAAAATCTCTTGAACTTGGGAGGCAGAGCTTGCAGTGAGCCGAGATAACGCCACTGCACTCCAGTCTGGGCGACAAGAGTGACACTCCGTCTCAAAAAAAAAAAAAAACAGAATCTACTTTTGCATTTGGCAAGCAGCTAGACTAAGGGTGCTAGAAAGCCTGGATCGCTTTAATTCAATCAAGGCATTATATGATTCAAATTTAGGCTTTAGACTATTTCCACCTTTATTCTTAGTGTGTAGCCCTTTAGGGTCCCAACAAAAATCACTTTTCTGGGGCTTCCCAACCACATATGACTAGCGTCCCTTCTATCTTTTCAGTGCTTGCCCTCTGCTGCCCTGGCCACCTCCCTATCCCCTATCACCGCCAGCATCTATCATATAGTAATTTATAAGGATTTATTCTTGCCTTTCTCCTAGCTAAGATCAATTTTTGCTCTTTTGATGTTGTTGTTGAGATGGGATCTCACTTTGTCATCCAGGCTGGACTGCAGTGGTGCAATCATAGCTCACTGCAACCTCAAACTCCTGGGCTCAAGGGATCCTCCCGCCTCGGCCTACTGAGTAGCTGGGACTACAGGTGCTTGCCACCACACCTGGGTAGTTTTTTTTTTGTTGTTGTTGTTTTTAAATTTTTTGTAGTGATGTGGTCTCACTTTGTTTCCCAGGCTGGTCTTGAACTCCAGGGCTCAAGCAATCCTCCCACCTCGGTCTCCCAAAGTGCTGGGATTACAGGCGTGAGTCACTGTGCCCAGCATTTGTTACTTTAAAAGGTGGGAACTCTGTCTTACTCTCTCTCACCCAGTACCCTTCAGAAATAATTGTGTGGCCCTTGATCTGCCCTGGGAGAGTGCTGAGGAGGAATTCTACACAGGTTAATCTCTGTCTCCCCGAGAATCCAGGGCTCTTTCCTAATAGGCTGTCAAGTGCTCTCCCCATCCCTGTCACCCCACCCAGGCCAGGGGCTCGCCTCACACTGTTCTCTCCCTTGGCCTCTACTGTCCTGGAAGTCCTGGCTAGGCTCCTTTCCAATCCCAGACCTTCACCGCTTGGACTTTTTCTGTTCTCAGAGTCTCAGAACTGTTGGCGGAGCTCACTATGCATTCAAATGGTCTAAAATGGAATCATTTTTGTGATGGTTAATTTCTTTTTTTTTTTTTTTTTTGAGACAGAGTCTTGCTCTGTCACCCAGGCTGGAGTGCAGTGGCACAATCAGCTCACTGCAACCTCCACCTCCTGGGTTCAAGTCATTCTCCTGCCTCAGCCTCCCCAATAGCTGGGATTACAGGCATGCGCCATCACGCCCAGCTAATTTTTGTATTTAAGTAGAGACGGGGCCCTGAGTGAACTTGAAGGCCACAAGGATTACAATTCCTAGGCAAGTCCTGGTGCTGAACTGGGCTCAGAGACATTGGACTTGGGGGGCATGCAACCTACTGAGATACCAGCCAGCTGGCTAAGGGAGTGCTTGCATCACCCCTTCTACAACCACAGGCAGGACAGCTCACAGCTACAAAAGAAACCTCTTCCTTCTGCTTGGGGACAGGAGGGAAAACTAAAGGGGACTCTGTCTTGCATCTTGGATATCAGCTCAGCCACAGTAGGATAGGGCACTAGTCAGAGTCAGAAAGCCTCTATTCCAGGCCCTAGTCCCTACACATTTCTAGACACACCCTGGGCCAGAAGGGAACCTGCTGCCTTGAAAGGAAGAATCCAATCCAGGCAGGATTCATCACCTGCTGATTAAAGAGCCCTTGGGCCCTGAAAAACCAGCAGCGATACCCAGGTAGTAAGCTGTGAGCCTAGGGTGAGACTCAGAGACGTACTGGCTCCAGGTGAGACCCAGCACATTCCCAGCTGTGGTGACCTCAGGGAGAGATTCCTACTGCTTGAGAAAAGCAGAAGGAAAAGTAAAGGGGACTTTGTTTTGCACCTTAGGTACCAGCTTGGCCACAGTGGGGTAGAGCACCAAGCAGGCTCTTAGGTTCCCCAATTCCAAGCCTTGGCTCTTAAATGTCATTTCTGAACCTACACTGGGCCAGAGGGAAGCCCACTGCCCTGAAGGGTGAGTCCAGGCCAGGCCTGGCAGCATTCACCACAGCTGACTGAAGAGCACTTGGGCCCAGGTGCAGTGGCTCACGCCTGTAATACCAGCAGTTTGGGAGTCCGAGGTGGGTGGATCACTTGAGGTCAGAAGTTCAAGACGAGCCTGGGCAACATCATGAAACCCTGTCTCTACTGAAAATACAAAAATTAACTGTGTGTGGTGGCATGTGCCTGTAATCCCAGCTACTCCGGAGGCTTAGGCAAGAGAGTCGCTTGAACGCGGGAGGCAGGGGTTGCAGTGAGCTGAGATCACTCCAGCCTGAGGAAAAGAGACAGACTCTGTCTCAAAAAATAAGTAAATAAATAAAAAAAAAGCACTTGGGTCTTACCTGAACATCAGTAGTAGCCTGGCAGTACTTCCTGTGGGCTTGTGGTGGTGGCTATGGGTTGAGGCTCCTCTGCTTATGGAAAGGGGAGGGAAGAGTGGGAAGAACTGTGTGACGGCTCAGCAGCAGTGCAATAGGACACCTCTCTGGATCTACCCAGGGCCTGGGGGAACTCGCTGCCCTGAAGGGAAGGACAGAAGCCTGACTGGCTTTACAACCTGCTGATTGAAGAGCCCTAGGGCCTTGAACATAAGGCAGTAGCTTGGTAGTGGTTACAGAGGGCCTTGGGTAAGCCCCAGGGCTGTGCTGGCTTCAGGTTGACCCAGAGCACTTCCAGTGATGGTGGCCACAGAGATGCTTGTGTCACTCCACCCCAGCTCCAGGCGGCTCAACACACAGAGAGAGACTCCATATGTTTGGGGGAAGGTAAGGGAAGAGAACAAGAGCCCCTGCCTAGTAATCCAGAGAATTCTTTTAGATCTTATCCAGGACCACTAAGGTGGTATTTCTATGAGCAGCATTACTGGGCGTAGGGTGCACCCTAATGCAGATGTGGCTTAGATCACAACACCCAAGTCCTTTCAAATACTTGGAAAGCCTTCCCAAGAAGAACGGGTTCAAACAACCCCAGACTGCAAACACTACAGTAAATACCTAACCCTTCAATGCCCAAACACTGACAAATATCCATAAGCATCAAGACCATCCAAGAAAACATGACCTCATCAAACAAACCTTAAGGCACCAGGGACCAATCCTGGAGAAACAGAGATATGTGACCTTTCAGACAGAGAATTCAAAATAGCTGTTTTGAGGAAACTCAACAAAATTTAAGATAACACAGAGAAGGAATTCAGAATTCTATCAGATAAATTTAACAAAGAGACCGAAATAATTTAAAAGAAGTTGTTTTTTTTTTTTTGAGACGGAGTTTCGCTCTCATTGCCTAAGCTGCCCATGCCCAAGCAACAAGCTGATCTAAATGGTGCGATCTCAGCTCACCGCAACCTCTCCCTCCTGGGTTCAAGCGATTCTCCTGCCTCAGCCTCCTGAGTAGCTGGGATTATAGGCATGCGTGAGCAGACCCGGCTAATTTTGTATTTTTAGTAGAGACGGTGTTTCTTCATCTTTGGTCAGGTTGGTCTTGAACCCCCAACCTCAGGTGATCTGCTTGCCTCACCTCCCAAAGTGCTGGGATTACGGGCATGAGCCACCGTGCCAGGCCCTAAAAGAAGTTTTAATTATTCTTTTTGTTTTTTTTTTCTTTTAAGACGGAGTTTTGCTCTTGTTTCTTGTTGCCCAGGCTGGAGTGCAGTGGCACAATCTCGGCTCACTGCAGCCTCCACCTCCCGACTCAAGCAATTCTCTTGCCTCAGCCTCCTGAGTAGCTGGGATTACAGGCACCCACAACCACGCTTGGCTAATTTTTTTGTATTTTTAGTAGAGACGGGGTTTCGCCATGTTGGCCAGGCTGGTCTCAAACTCCTGGCCTCAAGTGATCTGCCTGCCTTGGCCTCCCAAAGTGCTGGATTATAGGCATGGGCCACTGCACCCAGCCTCTGTATTTTCAAATAACTTGTCTTGAAGCTCACTAATTCTGCTTGATCAATTCTGATATTAATAGACTCTGATGCATCCTTATGTTGTCAGTTGCATTTTTCAACTTCAGAATTTCTGCTTTTATAATAAGAAATTATAAAGTAAGAATAATTAAAATAAATATTATAAATAAATTATAAGAATAATTAAAACTTGGCTGGGCACGGTGGCTCATGCCTGTAATCCCAGCACTTTGGGAGGCCGAGGCAGGTGGATCACTTGAGGCCAGGAGTTTGAGACCAGCCTGGCCAACACGGCAAAACCCCATCTCTACTAAAAATACAGAAAAATTAGCCGGGCATGGTGGTGCACGTCTGTAGTCCCAGCTACTCAGGAGGCTAAGGCATGAGAATCACTTCAACCAGGGAGGCAGTTTGCAATGAGCCGCGATTGCACCACTGCATTCCAGCCTGGGCGAGAAAGAGACTGTCTCAAAAAAAAAGAAAAGAAAATATACAGTCAGAGAAGGCAAAAAAAGGAATAAAAATGAAGCACAGCTGGGCACAGTGGCTGACGCGTGTAATCCCAACATTTTGGGAAGCTGAGGTGGGCAGATCACCTAAGGTCAGGAGTTCGAGACCAGCCTGGCCAACATGGTGAAATCTTGTCACTACTAAAAATACAAAACTTAGCCAGGTGTGGTAGTGCATGCCTATAATCCCAGCTACTCACCAGGCCGAGGCAGGAGAATCACTTGAACCTGGGAGGTGGAGATTGCAGTGAGTCAAGATGGCGCCACTGCACTCCAGACTAGGTGGCAGAGTGAAACTCCATCTCAAACAAACAACAACAACAAAAAAATGAAGCACACCTACAAATCTAGAAAATTGCCTCAAAAGGGCAAATCTAACAGTCATTGGCCTTAAAGAGGAGGTAGAGAAAGAGATAGAAGTAGAAAGTTTATTCAAAGGGATAATAACAGAGAATTTCCCAAACCTAGAGAATATCAATATGCAACTATAAGAAGGTTATAGAATACCAAGCAGATTTAACCCGAAGAAAACTACCTCAAGGCACTTAATAATCCAACTCTCAAAGGTCAAGGACAAAGAAAGGATACTAAAAGCATCAAGAGAAAACAAACAAATAACATACAAGGGAGCTCCAATACTTCTGGCAGCAGATTTTTCAGTGGAAACATTATAGGCCAGGAAAGAGTGGCATGACATATTTAAAGTGCTGAAGGGGAAAACAAAAATTACCCTAGAATAGTATGTCTGGAGAAAATAGCCTTCAAACATGAAGGAGAAATACTTTCCCAAACAGGCTGGGTGCAGTGGTTCATGCCTGTGAGTCCTAGCTACTCAGGAGGCTGAGGCAGGAGAATCATTTGAACCTGGAGGGCAGAGGTTGCAGTGAGCAGAGATCACATCAATACACTCCAGTCCGGGCGACAGAATGAGACTCTGTCTCAAAAAAAAAAAAAAAAAAAAGAAGAAGAAAAGGAAAAGAAATACTTTCCAAAACAAACAACAGCTGAGAGATTTCATCAACACCAGATCTTTCCTACAAGAAATGCTAAAGGGAATACTTCAGTCAGAAAGAAAAGGATGTTAATGAGCAAAAAGAAATCACCTGAAGATGCAAAACTCACTGGTAATAGTAAGTATACAGAAAAAGACAGACTATTGGCCGGGCGCAGAGGCTCACACCTGTAATCCCAGCACTTTGGGAGGCCAAGGCAGGCAGATCACTTGAGGTCAGGAGTTTGAGACCAGCTTGGCCAACATGGTGAAACCCCATCTCTACTAAAAATGCAAAACTTAGTTGGGCGTTGTGGTGCACACCTGTAGTCCCAGCTGCCACTGCACTCCAGCTTGAGTGGACAAAGCAAGACCCTGTCTCAAAAAAAAAAAAAAGTTAAAAAGCAGAGGGACAGGCCGGGCGTGGTGGCTCATGCCTGTAATCCCAGCACTTTGGGAGGCTAAGGCGGGCAGATCGCCTGAGGTCAGGAGTTCGAGACCAACCTGGACAATACGGTGAAAACCCCATCTCTACCAAAAATGCAAAAATTAGCTGGGTGTGGTGGCACACGCCTGTAATCTCAGCTACTCGGGAGGCTGAGGCAGAAGAATCACTTGAACCCGGGAGACAGAGGTTGCAGTGAGCTAAGATTGTGCCACTGGCACTCCAGCCTGGGCGATAGACTGAGACTCTGTCTCAAAAAAAAAAAAAAAAAAGCAGAGGGACAAAGTTAGAGTTATTAGTTTTCTTTTTGCTTGTAAGTTTATTTGTTTATGCAAACAGTGTTGAGTTGTTATCAGCTTAAAATAATGGGTTAAAAGTATTTGCAAGCCTCAGGATAATATGAAATCAGAAAACATGCAACAGATACACAAAAAATAAAAAGCAAGAAATTAAATCATACCACAGAGAAAATTACCTTCACTAAAAGGAAGACAGGAAGGAAGAAAAGAAGGAAGAGAAGACCACAAAACAACCAGAAAACAAATAACAAACTGGCGGGAGTAAGTCCTTACTTGTCAATAATAACATTGATTTTTTTTTTTTTTTGAGACAGAGTCTGGTTCTGTTGCCCAGGCTGGAGTGCAATGGCGTGATGTCAGCTCACTGCAACCTCCGCCTCCCAGGTTCAAATGGTTCTCCTGCCTCAGTCTCCTGAGTAGCTGGGACTTCAGGCCCCTGCCACCACGCCTGGCAATTTTTTGTATTTTTAGTAGAGACGGGGTTTCACCGTGTTAGCCAGGATGGTCTTGATCTCCTGACCTCAAGATCCACCCACCTCAGCCTCCCAAAGTGCTGGGATTACAGGCGTGAGCCACTGTGCCTGGTATAACATTGAATGTTAAGGGACCAAACTCACCAATTTTGTTAGTCTGTCCTCATACTGCTATAAAGATCTACCTGAAACTGGATAGTTTATGAAGAGAATAGGTTTAATTGACTCACAGTTCCTCAGGCTGTACAGGAAGCATGTCTGGGAAGCCTCAGGAAACTTAGAATTATGGCAGAAGGTGAAAGGGAAACAAGCACTTCTTACCACGGTGGAGCAGGAGGAAGAGAAAGAACAAAGTGGGAGGTGCTGCACACTTTTAAAGCAACCATCTAATAAGAACTCATTCACTATCATGAGAACAGCAAGGGGGAAGTTCACCCCTTGATCCAATCACCCCACACCGGGCCTCTCCTCCAACATGTGGGGATCACAATTCAACATGAGATTTGGGTGGGGACGCAGAGCCAAACCCTATCACCAATCAAAAGACTTAGAGTGGGCCAGGTGCGGTGGCTCACGCCTGTAATTCCAGCACTTTGAGAGGCCGAGGCAGGCAGACTGCTTGAGGTCAGGAGTTTGAGACCTGGCCAACATGGTGAAACCCCATCTCTACTAAAAACATAAAAAATTAGCCAGGCACGGTGGCGCATGCCTGTAATCCTAGGTACTCGGGAGGCTGAGGCATGAGAATTGGTTGAGCCTGGGAGGCAGAGGTTGCAGTGAGCCAAGATCATGCCACTGCACATTCCAGCCTGGGCAACAGAGTGAGAATCCATCTAAAAAAAAAAAAAAGACACACATAGACTGAAAATAAAGGGATGGAAAAAGATATTCCATGCCAATGGAAACCCAGAAAAGAGCAGGAGTAGCTATACTTAGACAAAATAGATTTCAAGACAAAAACTATAAGAAGAGACAAAGAAGGCCATTATATAATGATAAATGGGTCAATTCAGTAAGAGGATATAACAATTGCAAATATGTATGCACCTAACACAGGAGGACCCAGACAAAATTAATACAAACCAATTTACTAGTGTTAAAGAGAGTGATAGACCCCAATATAATAAGAGCTGGTGACTTCAACACCCCACTTTTAGCACCAGACTGATCTTCCAGACAGAAAGCCAATCAACAAACATTGGACTTCATCTACACTTGTTGGGAGCAGGCCGCCCAAAATCTGGCCATAAACTGGCCCCAAAACTGGCCATAAACAAAATCTCTGCAGCACTGTAACATGTTCATAACGGCCCTAACGCCCACACTGGAAGGTTGTGGGTTTACGGGAATGAGGGCAAGGAACACCTGGTCTGCCCCGGGTGGAAAACTGCTTAAAGGCATTCTTAAGCCACAAACAACAGCATGAGCGATCTGTGCCTTAAGGACATGCTCCTGCTGCAGTCAACTAGCCCAACCTATTCCTTTAATTTGGTCCATCCCTTCGTTTCCCATAAGGGATACTTTAGTTAATTTAATATCTATAGAAACAATGCTAATGACTCTTTTGCTGTTAATAAATATGTGGGTAAATCTCTGTTCAGGGCTCTCAGCTCTGAAGGCTGTGAGACCCCTGATTTCCCACTTCACACCTCTATATTTGTGTGTGTGTGTCTTTAATTCCTGTAGCACCGCTGGGTTAGGGTCTCCCCGACCGAGCTGGTCTCAGCATACACTATAACCAAATGTGACCAAAATGGATGGTACTGGCATTAAAACAGACACATAGACCAGTGGAACAGAATAGAGAACCCAGAAATAAATTCATACATCTGCAGTAAACTCATTTTTGACAAAAGTGCCAAGAACATACATTGGAGAAAGTATGGTCTCTTCAATAAATACTGCTAGGAAAACTGGACATCCATATGCAGAAGAATGAAACTAGATCCCCATCTCTCATCATATATAAAAATCAAATCAAAATGGATGAAAGACTTAAATCTGAGACCTCAAACTATGAAATTAATACAAGAAAACACTGGGGAAACTCTACAGGACACTGGACTGGGCAAAGATTTCTTGAGTAAAAGCCCACAAGCACAAGCAACCAAAGCAAGAATGGACACATCAAATTAAAAAGCTTCTGCACAGCAAAGGAAACAACAAAGCAAAGTGAAAAGACAACTCACAGAATGGGATAAAATATTTGCAGAACTACCCATCTGACAAGGGACTAAGGAGAATATATAAGAAACTCAAACAACTCTGTAGGAAAAAAAAATCTAATCAATTAAAAATGGGCAAAAGATCCGAATAGACATTTCTCAAAAGAAGACATGCAGGCTGGGCGCGGTGGGTCACGCCTATAATCCCAGCACTTTGGGAGGCTGAGGCAGGTGGATCACGAGGTCAGGAGTTCAAGACCAGCCTGGTCAACATAGTGAAACACCGTTCTACTAAAAATACAAAAAATTAGCCGGGCATGGTGGCGGGTACCTGTAATCCCAGCTGCTCAGGACGCTGAGGCAGGAGAATTGCTTGAACCTGGGAAGTGGAGGTTGTAGTGAGCGGAGATCACACCACTTCACCCCAGCCTGGGCAACAGTGTAAGACTCTGTCTCAGAAAAAAAAAAAAAAAGAAGAAGACATGTAAATGGGAAACAGGTATATGAAAAGGTGCTTAACATCGTTGATCACCAGAGAAATACAAATCAAAACCACAGTGAGATATCATCTCATTCCTAATTAAAATGGCTTTTATCCAAAAGACAGGCAAAAACAAACGCTGGTGAGGATGTGGAGAAAAAGGGAACCCTCATACACTGTTGGTGGGAATGTAAATTAGTACAATCTCTATAGACAACACTTGGGAGGTTCCTCAAAAAAACAAAAAAAGAGCTACCATATGATCCAGCAGTTCCACTCCTAGATATATACCCAAAAGAAAGGAAATCAGTAGATAAAAAAATATCTGCACTCCTGTTTATGGCAGCGTTATTCACAATAGCCAAGATTTGGAAGCAACCTAAGTGTCCATCAACTGACAAATGGATAAAGGGAATGTGGTACGTATGCACAATGGAATACTATTCACCATAAAAAAAAGAAATTGATCCTGTCATTTACAACAACGTAGATGGAGCTGGAGGTCATTATGTTAAGTGAAATAAGGCAGGCACAGAAATACAAACTTTGGGCTGGGTGCGGTGGCTCACGCCTGTAATTCTAGCACTTTGGGAGACTGAGGCAGGTGGATCACCTGAGGTCAGGAGTTCAAGACCAGCCTGGCCAAAATGATGAAACCCCGTCTATACTAAAAATACAAAAATTACCCAGGTATGGCGGTGCATGCCTGTAATCCCAGCTACTCAAGAGGCTGAGGCAGGGAAATTGCTCGAACCCAGGAGGCGGAGTTTGCAGTGAGCCAAGATTGAGACACTGTACTCCAGCCTGGGCGACAGAGTAAGACTCTGTCTCAAAAAAAAAAAAAAAAAAAGAAAAGAAATGAAATACAAACAGCATGTTGTTTCTTATTTGTGGGAGCTAAAAATCATGGAGATAGACAGGAGAAGGATGATTACCAGAGACTGGGAATAGGGGGAGGAGGAAGGGAGGAAGTGTGAATGGTTAATGGGTACCGAAAAGGTAGAATGAGTAGGCCAGGTGTGGTGACTCACATCTGTAATCCCAGCACTCTGGGAGGCCAAGGGGAGAGGATGGCTTGAGCCCAGGAGTTTGAGACCAGCCTGGGCAACATAGGGAGACCCCATCTCTATTTTTAATTAAATAAAAAAAGAATGAATAAGACCTAGTATTTGCTAGCACAACAGTGTGACTACAGTCAAAAATAATTTCATAGTACATTTAAAAATAACCAAAAGTGCTGGGCGCGGTGGCTCACACTTGTAATCCCAGCACTTTGGGAGGCCGAGGCGGGCGGATCACGAGGTCAGGAGATCGAGACCATGGTGAAACCCCGTCTCTACTAAAAATACAAAAAATTAGCTGGGCGTGATGGCAGGCGCCTGTAGTCCCAGCTACTCGGAGAGGCTGAGGCAGGAGAATGGCGTGAACCCGGGAGGCGGAGCTTGCAGTGAGCCGAGATTGCGCCACTGCACTCCAGCCTGGGCGACAGAGCGAGACTCCGTCTCAAAAAAAAAAAATAATAACAGTATAACTGGATTGTTTATAACACAAAGGATAAATGCTTGTGGGGATGGATACCCCATTTACCCTGATGTGATTAGTATGTATTGCATGCCTGTATCAAAACATCTCACGTACCCATAAATAAGCACATCTAGTATGTACTCACAAAAATTAAAAATAAATACAGGCCAGGCGCGGTGGCTCACGCCTGTAATCCCAGCACTTTGGGAGGCCGAGGCGGGTGGATCACGAGGTCAGGAGATCGAGACCATCCTGGCTAACACAGTGAAACCCCGTCTCTACTAAAAATACAAAAACAAAATTAGCCGGGCGTGGTGGCAGGCGCCTGTAATCCCAGCTACTCCGGAGGCTGAGGTGGGAGAATGGCTGAACACAGGAGGCAGAGCTGGCAGTAAGCCCAGATCGCACCACTGCACTCCAGCCTGGGTGACAAAGCGAGACTCTGTCTCAAAAAAATATAATAATAATAAAAATAAATAGATAAATAAACACAAATAAATTAAAACAAAAAATTTAGAAATTTTACTTATTTATTTTTACTTTTGAGACAGAATCTCGCTCTATTGCTCAGGCTGGAGTGTAGTGGTGTGATCTCAGCTCACTTCAACCCCCGCCTCCCAGGTTCAAGCGATTCTCCTGCCTTAGCCTCCTAAGTAGCTGGGACTACAGGTGCACACCACCATGCCCAGCTAATTTTTGTGTTTTTAGTAAAGACGGGGTTTCACCATATTGGTTAGGCTGGTCTCGAACTCCTGACGTCATGTGATCCACCTGCCTCGGCCTCCCAAAGTGCTGGGATTACAGGCATGGGCCACCGCAGCTGGCCAAAAATTTAAAAATTTTAAACATTATTCTAGATGTTCCTATGAAGTTTGTTTTATTTATTTATTTATTTATTTATTTATTTTTGAGACGGACTCTCGCTCTGTTGCCCAGGCTGGAGTGCAGTGGCATGATCTCGGGTCACTGCAACCTCCACCTCCCGGGTTCAAGCATTTCTCCCTGCCTCAGCCTCCTGAGTAGCTGGGATTACAGGCATTCACCACCACGCCTGGCTAATTTTTTTTTGAGACAGAGTTTGGTTCTTGTTGCCCAAGCTGGAGTGCAATGGCATGGTCTCGGCTCACTGCAACCTCTGCTTCCCAGGTTCAAGCGATTCTCCTGCCTCAGCCTCCCAAGCAGCTGGGATTATAGGGGCCCACCACCACGCCCAACTAACTTTTGTATTTTTAGTAGAGACAGGATTTCACCATATTGGTCAGGCTGGTCTCGAACGCCTGACCTCAAGTGATCTGCCCGCCTCAGCCTCCCAAAGTGCTGGGATTACAGGCGTGAACCACCACGTCTGGCTGAAGTTTTTTTTCAGATTAACATTTAAATCAGTAAACTCTGAGTAAAGCAGTTCTTCCTCTGTAATGTAAGCAGGACTCATCCAATCAGTCAAAGGCTTTAATTTTTTTTTCTTTTGAGACGGAGTCTCACTCTGTCACAATAGTGTGATCTCGGCTCACTGAAACTCCGCCTCCTGGGTTCAAGCGATTCTTGAGCCTCAGCCTCTCAAGTCGCTGGGATCACAGGTGCCCACCATCATGCTTGGCTAATTTTTGTATTTTTAGTAGAGACATGGTTTCCCCATGTTTCCCAGGCTGGCCTCAAACTCCTGACCTCAGGTGATCCACCCACCTCGGCCTCCCAAAGTGCTGGGATTACAGGCGTCAGCCACCACACCCAGCCAAAGACTTTAATTTAAAAAAAGAAAGAAAAAAAAAAAAAAGACTGACTTCCCTGTAAAAGAATGAATTCTGCCAGACGACTGCTTTCAGACTTGAACTGCAACATCGACTCTTTCGTGGGACTTCAGCCTGCTGGCCTACCCTGCAGATTCTGGACTTGCCAGGCTCCACAATCACGTGAGTCAATTCCTTGAAACAAATCTCTGTGTCTGTGCCCCTCTTTATCTGTCTCACTCTCAGTCTCTATGTATGTATATATACATATATGTACCTATGTGTATGTATAGATACATATGTGTACATATGTGTATGTATATACATACGTGTATGCATGTGTATGTATATATACATATGTGTATGTGCATGTATATATATACACATATGTGTGTATGTGTATATGCATGTATGTATACATGTGTATATATGTATGTATGCATGCATACACGTATGTATGCACGTATCCATACACGTATGTATGTGCCTATGTATATGCATGTATGCATACATGCACATGCATGTGTATATATATGTGTATGCACATATACATATGTATATACATGCATGCACATATATGCATGTATGTATGCATGTATGTGCATATGCACATGTATACATATATGTATATATTTGTGCATGCATGTATATGCATATACATACATGTATATATGTATTATACATGTATATATACACATTCACAGAGATATACACATTACTATGGACTATGTATTTGTGTCCCCTCAGAACTTCATGTTGAAGCCCTAACCCCAAGTGTGGCTATATTTGGAGTAGAGGCCTCTAAGGAACTAATTAAGTTAAATAAGGTAATATGGGGTAGAGCCTAGATCCAATATGATTAGTGCCCTTATAAGAGACATAAGAGAAAAGGCCATGTGAGGACAGAGTGAAGGTGGCCATCTGCAAACCAAGAAGAGAGCCCTCACTAGAACCAAATCAGCTGGAACCTTAATCTTGAACTTCTAACCTCTAGTACAGTGAGAAAATTAATTTCTGCTGTTTAAGCCACCCAATCCATGGTGTTTTGTTCCCCAGCATATGGATATATATACATGTATACATATTATGCATCTTCTATTGATTCTGTTTCTCTGGAGAACCCTGACTAGAACAATACAGTCCTTCTAGGTCTTTCTTGGCCATCATCTATTGAGTTTCCCCTTGGTGGTTCTAAACCTCTCCTCTCTTTTCTACTGGTTCTCACTTTACTGGAGCAATTGAGTCCCTCAGAGTTGTCCTCAGCCTTGTCTCTGCCTCTAAAATCCTCCCTCCTTAGCCCATCCTTCCCACCACCTCTCCTTCTTCTATGACTTCAACCTCTATCTTCGGCATACAAATGTATTCAAGCATTCAAGTCTCTCTTACCTAAACATCACCCCAACCTTAGAGCCCTCTCTAGCCACAGCTCTCCCTCCTTTCCTCCTTTCCCCTTTCCTTTTTTTTTTTTGAGATGGAGTCTCACTCTGTACCCAGGCAGGAGTGCAGTGGGATGATCTCAGCTCACTGCAACCTCCACCTCCCAGGTTCAAGCAATTCTCATGCCTCAGCCTCTCCAATAGCCGGGACTACAGGCACATGCCACCATGTCCGGCTAATTTTTATATTTTTAGTAGAGGTGAGTTTTTGCCATGTTGGCCAGGCTGATCTTAAACTCCTGGCCTCAAGTGATCTGCCCGCCTCAGCCTCCCAAAGTGCTGGGATTATAGGCATGAGCCACCATGCCCGGCCCTCATTGCAAACCTTTTTTTTTTTTTTTTTTTTTTTTTTGAGACGGAGTTTCACTCTTGTTGCCCAGACTGGAGTGCAATGGCGTGATCTCGGCTCACCGCAAACCTCCGCCTCCTGGGTTCAAGTGATTCTCCTGCCTCAGCCTCCCGAGTTAGCTGGGATTACAGGCATGTGCCACCACACCCAGCTAATTTTGTATTTTTAGTAGAGACGGGGTTTCTTTATGTTGGTCAGGCTGGTCTCGAACCCCTGACCTCAGATGATCCACCCTCCTCGGCCTCCCAAAGTGTTGGGATTACAGGTGTGAGCCACGGTGCCCGGCTGCAAAGTTTTCTAATGTCTTCTACATTTAAATTTGCCCTCACTTCTCATTCTATATTAGGCAAAATTCTTTTTTTTTTTTTTTTTTTTTTGAGACAGAGTCTCACACTGTTGCCCAGGCTGGAGTGCAGCAGCGTGATCTCGGCTCACTGCAACCTCCGCCTCCTGGGTTCAAGCGATTCTCCTACCTCAGCCTCCTGAGTAGCTGGAATTACAGGTGCACACTACCATGCCTGGCTAATTTTTGTATTTTTAGTGGAGACGGGGTCTCACAATGTTGTCCAAGCTGGTCTCGAACTCCTGACCTCAAATGGTCCACCCATCTTGGCCTCCCAAAGTGCTGGGATTATAGGCGTGAGCCACTGTGCCTGGCCTGGATTAGGCAGAATTCTTTATGACAGAAACACAACTCAAAATTGTCTTAAGGGGAAAAAAAATAGAATTTATTTGTTCACAGAGCCAAAAAGTACAGAAGTAGATCTTTCACTTCAAGCATGGCTGAATCCAGGTCCTCAATGATACCAACAGGAAGTTGTCTTTCTCACTCTCTGCATTCCTCCATGTTGACCTCATTCTCACTCTCAATCTCTCCTCTTGATGACAAGATGACCACAAGAAGCTCTAAGCTTACACTTTGCCTGCTTGTCAGCTCCAGCAGAAAGAGTTAGCTCTTTCCCTAAGATTCTAGTAACAGTCCTGGAATTGAGCCTCATGAGCCTGGTTTGACTCACTTGTCCATTCCCAATCATTTGGGCAGGGAATGGGATGTTCTAATTGGCCAGGCCTGGGTCACATGGGGGTGGTCCACTCAATCCAAACCACAAAACTGAAAATGAGGAAGAATGGTTCCCCAAAGGAATATTGGAGTGCTGGTATCAGAACAAAGGGAATTGGATGTAGGCAGGCAGAACCAACAGATGTCCACTATGCTTCCATCCCTCAACCTAGTGCAAACTGATTTCCACTCCTGGCATCCACTGACATCTCTCTCACCAAGGTGACCAGGGAACTTGATGGCCAAGAGCATCTGCTCAGCTCTCATTCTTCACCTTTCTGCTAGTCACTCCTTCCTTCTGCAAACTCTGCTTGACTTCCATCACCCAGCTCTAACTGAACCCTCTCCAATCTCTCTGACCCACCCCTCTACCTCCTTCACATATAGCCATCCTCCAAGATTTAGGCCTCAGTCCTTCCCTCTCTAGTCTCCATCTGTGGTCCCACTCTCTCCTATACACACTTCTGTTGGGAGCCGAAAAGGCCAAAGGGATCGTGACCAACTCAGCATTCCACTGGAGGCTATATGATCAAACAGCAAACTGTTTATCATGAATGTAGGATGTGAGCAAACACACTGCACCTGCCACCAAAAGGTTTGCTGATGGACATCACTCCTTGGTGCAGGGCTCCTTGAAGTTATCTAAGAAATCTAGCACCTATTGTTCAAAAGATGCAGTCTCACAAGCCTGCTGTGAACCAAACCTCTAACTGACAATTACCGACAATCACCCCCCCTTTCTCGCTCTCTTTTGCCTACGAAATACGGAGGGATGTGTAAAACTCAGGGCCCTTGTCCACTAGAGGCAAAGTGCCCCCTGACCCCTTCTTCCAAATATACTCTTTTGTCTTGTCTTTTATTCCCATTGCCCACCCACCTTTGTTCAGTCCACCAGGGATCATGGCAGGCTACACACTTCTAGTTCCTGGACATCTTCTAAATCTTCTGTCTCCCAGCAATCACCTGGGCTCCCCCAAAGCCCTCAAACTAATGGTTCTGGCAATTTCACAGATTCATGATTTATGACCCCATCCTTTCCCCTTGCCTTTTTCCCAGCCCGTACCTCTGGTCGGTCACCAAGTTAGTCACTTCCCTACTGGGACCCGCTTTCCCATCAACGCTCCCCACTCAGCTCCATACCTCTGCCCTGCCCAGACCTTCATCATGTCACTCCTGACATCTCTGCCCACAGCCTCTGCCCCATCCATCCTGCAACCAGGGACCCGATTAACCTCCTAAGCAGCAGTTGATCAAAACATTCCTTTATCTGAAACCTTCTATGGTTCCTTATTGCCATTAAGATTCCTTAACATGGAATGCTTTCAGGGCTCCAGAATCTGTCCCCAGATTTTCCTTCAATTATTCATCTTGCTGAGCTCTTCAGACTCCAACTAATTTACTCACTGTCCCCAAAACATGCCAAACATTTTCCCACCTCTGAACTTTTACATGACACTAACATTAGACCCTCATTATTGACTCTTCTAAACGTTCCCCATATTTCAAAACTGAGCTCCAAGCCACCTCTGTGAAATCATCCGTAAACACATCAGCTATTCCTCCAATTTTGAGTGTATACTTGTTTGTTGCTTTTGCATAATATGTAATGCCTCCTCTAGCAAGGGAATCACAGGAGAGTTTCTCCCAAAGTCATGCATTTCCCCAAAAAGAATGCTGTCTGTTCCGGAGCTACTACTGTTGTGAGCAACTAAAAGTTGTCTTCCTTGGGCTCTCTCATAGTAGTCCCTGCCCCTCTTTTCCTCATGAGACTATGTCAAGGCTAATGTGAAAATACTTCATGCACTGTTGCCAATGTATGTTAGGGATGAGCATAAAACAACAGACAAGGGGAAACAGAATCAATTGCAGACCCTAACATTTTAACTTTCTTAAATGTTTTTCTTCAACACTTTCCTATGGTTCATACTTTAAATGACTTTAAAATTATGCTTTAAGTAAATATATGCTTTAAATAATTTTTATTTGCTTCATTTTTCCTTCATAGCTATCCCTTTTTTTTTGTCATCAAAGATATGTGCGTTTTTTATAAAAACACTTTCTTGTCCCCTGCTGACTACCTCTGGAAGCTTCTTGTTGACCTCTGGTTTTTTGGTTTCTTTTTTTGGCTTTTCATTTCTTAGGGTGGTGGTGGTGGTAGTGAAGGAGAGGGGTCTTCTGGTGGCCCCTGCATAAGCACTCCCCCTCAACATGAGCATGATTAACTGGAACCACTGTTATTTCTGTGGTGTAGACAAAATGAGCCATGTAGCTATTAACATCTCCCTGATTTAAAAAGAAACACGGAACTTTCTTTTTCCTGCTGTCCTTAGGGAGGAAAGGTGTAAATATAAGAGACTGTAGCTAGTATCTTGGAAGTCCCCAGGAGACAGGCGTTTCCTCTTGGTCACTGACTCTCTGGGTCACTGACGCTCCTTGAACAGCAGGGCCACCGTGTCTCCCTTTGAAGCAAGTGATCCTTAAGGAATTTTCCAGGTTTAGTAACTTCTGTCTAGCTCCGAAAAGACGTAATGGCTGCAAAAGTGCTTCGTTGAAGAAGATAAGATATATTCATTTTTAAATAAAAATACTTATGGGCGAGAAAAATCGGAGTGGACTGAATCAATTACAGTAAATCTATGGGCTCTAAGGGAGCAAATAATCCAGGCTGGCTGAAAGAATTAAATATTTTAAATTTATAAAGCCAGGGACCCTCAAATCCATAAAAGGATTCAATCTTCTTCTTCTTTTTTTTTAGGATTCAATCTTCTAATAATCCCGGGAGGGGGCGCAAGAGCAGGATTCTTGTTTCTATTTTACGAATGAGGAAACTGAGGTTCAGAAAGCCTAAGTGGCATGCCTCTTCAGTAATCGGCCAATCGTCGCTGCCCTAACTTCACCTCACCTCCCAGTGCAGCACTAGAGTCCCCTCAGGGGTGGCCGTCCCTGGTCAGTCCAGCTCCAGCAGACGGGGTGGGTAGGACGCTCCCTATCAGGCAGCACTTCCGCCTCCCGGGGCCCGCGCAGCTCACCTCCCTCACCTCCCGCCCTACCCCAGTCACGAGTTGTTTTAGGGGGACCGCCCCTCCACTTGCTGATTGGGTAGCTCCTGAACCATTGTTGTCCTCTGATTGGTTGTTCCCTTTTCGGCTCTGCAACACCGCCTAGACCGACCGGATACACGGGTAGGGCTTCCGCTTTACCCGTCTCCCTCCTGGCGCTTGTCCTCCTCTCCCAGTCGGCACCACAGCGGTGGCTGCCGGGCGTGGTGTCGGTGGGTCGGTTGGTTTTTGTCTCACCGTTGGTGTCCGTGCCGTTCAGTTGCCCGCCATGGCTGAGCTGGATCCGTTCGGCGCCCCTGCCGGCGCCCCTGGCGGTCCCGCGCTGGGGAACGGAGTGGCCGGCGCCGGCGAAGAAGACCCGGCTGCGGCCTTCTTGGCGCAGCAAGAGAGCGAGATTGCGGGCATCGAGAACGACGAGGCCTTCGCCATCCTGGACGGCGGCGCCCCCGGGCCCCAGCCGCACGGCGAGCCGCCGGGGGGTCCGGGTGAGAGTGCGGGCGCGTTTGGGGCGAGAGGACTTGTCTGGAAACTCGGTCCACAGTGGGTCCGAGAGCTTCTGTGTGACTCGTGCTCCTTGCTGAATTAGGAGGTTAGGGAGCAGTGCAAACAGGAAACGAGACCCTGGCCCGGTCTTTCAGAAACCTAGGCTCGAGAAGCCTGTTCGGTTCTCAGCATGTTTGAGTGCTTCTGGGCGCGGGCGGAGCGAGAAAGCAAGTGTAGGGTGGCAGGCTCCGGAGCCGGAAGAAGCCCGTTCAATTCAGCAACTTTTCATTAAGCATTTGCTGTGCCTTTAGTCCGGTCTCTGAAGCAACCGCATTGGCGCAGTTTTTCCAGACTTATAAGCTTATAAGTCTGAGCCGAGCACAGAACTCGTTATTAGAAAAGGAGGGCGGAAAAAAATAAGAATGGAAATATCGTTTTTGAGAGATACAAACAAAAGTAGCAATGCAGTTCAGCATTTAAGCACTTAAGGTGTACAGAGTGTTGGATTACGAGGAGGAAGGAGGGAGTAGGGAACTCGAAAGATGATCTAGGTCTGGAGAAAGAACTGCCAAGCGCGGTAGGAGTTTGCTATCGTTGAGCGATTGATTTACAGCTAGGACTTCTGGAGCTCTTCCTCTGGGAACAGCTTTGGTAGGCAATATTGCCTAAGCAGAACCCAAGATTAGCCTAAACCAATCAGGGAGGGATGAAGAGGTGAATAGAGAATGTTCTCAGCCAAACTCAAGTAAAAATGGGGCAGGTAGGATGGCAGTTTGACCTTTGGATGCCTTAACCTGTGTGTGATGCTTAGGATCATGAGTGGAAAAGACCTACTTAATAATACAAAGAAGTAGGAAATTTAGCTAGAAGAAATGAAATACGGCTTTTCATTCACTTAAAAAATTCCAACTAAGGGAGAATAGGGCACTACTGGGGCATATAGGAG
The DNA here is from genome assembly GCF_000001405.40 of Homo sapiens. Taxonomy (NCBI): domain Eukaryota; kingdom Metazoa; phylum Chordata; class Mammalia; order Primates; family Hominidae; genus Homo; species Homo sapiens. The sequence goes on from NC_000009.12 coordinate 36,192,218, forward strand.
TAGTGTCTACCCTAAATTCAAACCTTAAGGAGCCAGGTAGGTAACATATACGAGAGAAGCTGGCTTGACATGAGACAGTAGAAGTGTTGGAGACTGAGGCTTTGCTGCACTATAGTAGTGCTCTGTGTAAAGGCATTCAGATCCAGCAGTCTCAAGTTACTGTGCCAGCCAGGCGGAACCTTTTGATGGATGGGTTGGTGGGTGTGCTGCTAGTTTGCAGCCTCTTGAGTTTTTGACTGCACCATGTTGCTTCCTAAACAAATCAGTCCCCCAATAAGAACTTAGTGGGAACATGTAATATGCCCGAATATGCAACTTTATAGCGGGTAGGTTGGACTAAACTAGGCTGTGATTGTGAGATGAAGTTGGCCTTAAGTGATTAGGGGATATTTTCATTGGGTGGTCTCTAACATTTGTCTGAGAATTTTAAAATTGACTTCTTAGACCCTTAGTTTAACCTTCCTCATTTAATAGAAGAGAAGCAATCCTAGAGAGAAACGACTTGCTTAAAAAAGCACGAGTTAATAGCTGAGCCCCAAGTCTACCCACTCTTAGAATATACCACATTCTGTTGCAGTGTTTAGTTGTTTTAGCAGGGGTGTAGTGCGATAACAGACAGGCAGCTGTGGCTGTCCCAGGTGGAACAGATTTGGGAGAAGCAGAACCCAAGATCTGTAGTTGGAAGATTGTCCTGATTCAAGGACAGTGTTACCCTTACTGTTTTATCTCCACTGCCTAGCAGTGTGTCTGACATGTAGTAGATGCTCACGTTTGACAAAGAAATGGGCAAAAATGTCAGATCCAAGGGTCCTATGTAGAACTGACAGATCTTGGTGACGGGCAGTTAGGGAAGGTAAAAGGGAGAGAATAGAGTTGGATGCTCGGTCCTTTGTGCATCAAGCCTTCGGCAAAGGGAAGGAAAGAAATGGTTGCTGACTTAGTTCCTAGGAGGGACTTTCTTAGTGAACTAAGCATTTGGTGACTTAAAGCCAGATTCCTGACAGTGTAATTGAAGTTGGTAATATGCAGTGGTCAGCATTTCCTTTGGAGTTTAGAGAACTGATTGGACACTTTTTCTCTCTTAGTTTTCTTTTTCCTTCTTTTTTTTTTTTTTTAAAGATATGCTCTAGTGGTTAAGATTCTATGCTATCCTAAACTGCTTGAGTGTGAGTTTAGCTTTGTGATCTCAGACAATGTATATAACTACCACCACTGCCCGGCCTCAGTTTTCTCCTTTGTAAAAGTTGCATAATATAATTTATAATGCTATGTGGCATCTTTAGGATTACATTAAAGAGTGTCTATAAAGTGCTTACAGTTATATTAAGTATCTAGTGAATTCCAGCTACTATTAGTGGGAGAAAGGAGTTACAAGGCCTTTAGGCTTTGAAGTGTACTGAGTAAATTGAGGTTTTAGGCGGGAGCTCTCTTTCTGATGTATTATACAGAGATATATAGGCAGTCAGCTATGACAGATTGATGAGAGGAAAATAAACTGGCCCCAGCCTTGCGGAAAGCGTCTATGGAGGATGGGCACAGGCAAAAACCAGAGGGGTTAGGGCTAAGCCTTGGATGACTCCTTTGGTTGTTAAGAGATCCAGAAAAGAGACGTAGGTTTAGAGGCAGGAAGAAACCAGCTGGGTGAAGTGATATTGAGGTAACCAGCTGTGGGGGATATTGAGGAAGAACAGGTGGTCATGAAGGAGGCAGCACAAGTGGAGCTGTTGAAAAGCTCTCAATCATGAGGGCTGAGTCGGGGAAGAGAACAGGAGAGACAAGCCACAGAGAGAGTACAGCAGTAAGGCACTATTATGGTGTTTTGTTGTTTTTGAGACAGTCGCTCTGTCACCCAGGCTGGAGTGCAGTGGTGCGATCTCGGTTCACTGCAACCTCCGCCTCCTGGGTTCAAGCAGTTATCCTGCCTCAGCCTCCCGAGTAGCTGGGATTACAGGCGCCCACCACCGTGCCCAGCTAACTTTTTGTATTTTTAGTAGAGACGGGGTTTCACCATGTTGGCCAGACTGGTCTGAAACTCCTGACCTCAGGTGAGCCACCCGCCTTGGCCTCCCAAAGTGCTGGAATTACAGGTGTGAACCACCGCACCCGGTGACAAGTTATTTCTTGTAGGAGAAGAAAGAGACATGGGTGAATTAAAGGGAAGCTTTCTGGAGAAGTAATTTTATTGGTAGCAGTGGTGGAGGGAAGTTTAGGGAAATCTCATGCATGATAGTTAATTGTACTGCACATTTGCTGTATACCAGGTACACTTTCAGATCCCAGCAGTAGCTCCACAGGTTAAGTGGTAGTGTCATATTTCAGATGAGAATGGATCGGTGTGGAAGTTGAGCAGTGTCACTAAGGTAGCAAGGTAATAAATGGCTCAAGTGCAGCTTCAAACGTAGGTCTGCTTGACTTCAAATGTTTCTGGAATGTGGAAAGTTGAAAGTGGGTTTGGGACAGTCTTTCACTTTTGAAAACTGGCCCTTTTTCTGTCTGGAGTTCCTGAAAGGCCCTAGAAAGTTTCCTTCTGAAGCATCGTGTTGCTTAGTTTAGTTGTTGTAGTAAGTCAAGGCCCTACATGTCCTTTCTGCATGTTTCCACAGCAACAGACGATCCCTTGGCTTGAGCCAGTTGATTCTTGTAAGAATGTTAGTGCAGTAATACAGTAACTAATAAAGAGGAAAGCAGATGCCAGTGGGTCTGGAGGAGCCTTCAGACAGCATGTGATTTTTAAGGAGATGTGGGATGAGGATTGCTTCTTGTTTTGTATATGGAGTAGTGATCAAAGTCTCTCATATTCCAGCCCAGGGCTGGACTATATTAGTGGATAGTTGGTATGTCAATTGTACTATATTAACCATAATGTAGGCCTGGCCAGACTAGCCACTGTAGGATCTAGGATTTAAAACTATCTCACTCTTCTGTCTTACACAAAAATAAATTCCAGGTGGATTAAAGAGAGACATTTAAAAAGTAAAAGAAGAAAAGTGAGTATTTGTCTATCTCATAATAGGAAAGGCCTTCAGCATAAAAGCAGATACAGAAATCATGAAGAAAAAGTCGATCATGTCTACATACACAAATTAAGTTGTTCCAAGTGTTAAATACCATAAACCAAATCAAAAGAGAAACTAGGGAAAATATTTGACTATTAGAGAGCAAATACTTAGAGATCAAAAAATAGCAGGAAAATAGGCAAACTCAGAAAATTCAGTAAAGAAGAAAATCAGGTGTCGGGTATGTGATTACCTCACTGGAAATAAGATTGGCACAACAAAGCCACCATGAGTTTGTTTTTTTTTTCCATTATCAAATTAGCAAAAATTTTAAAACATGATCAAGCACAGTCCCTAGTATCAGGGAAGGTCTAAGAAATGGGGCACTTGTGCTGCTAGTAGTAATATAAACTGGTAGACTAATAGGAACAAGTGGGTAGAATTTTAGAAGTCTTTGAAATACATATCCTGGGCCAGGTGCGGTGGCTCACGCCTGAAATCCCAGCACTTTCGGAGGCTGAAGTGGGCGGATCACCTGAGGTCAGGAGTTTGAGACCAGCCTGACCAACATAGTGAAACCTCGTCTCTACTAAAAAATACAAAAATTAGCCGGGCATGGTGGCACGTGCCTGTAATCCCAGCTATTCGGGAGGCTGAGGCAGGAGAATCACTTGAACCTGGGAGGCGGAGGTTGCAGCAAGCCGAGATCGCGCCAGTGTACTCTAGCCTGGCCAACAGCGTGAGACTCCGTCTCAAAAAAAATAAAAAAATACATATCCTGGCTGGGCGCAGTGGCTCATGCCTGTAATCCCAGCACTTTGGGAGGCTGAGGTGGGTGGATCGTCTGAGGTCAGGAGTTCGAGACCATCCTGGCCAACGTGGTGAAACCCCCGTCTCTACTAAAACTACAAAAAAAATTAGGTGGGCATGATAGCTCACGCCTGTAGTCCCAGCTACTCAGGAGGCTGAGGCAAGAGAATCACTTGAACAACCCAGGAGGTGGAGGTTGCAGTGAGCCAAGATTGCACCACTGTACTCTAGCCTGGGCAACAGAGCAAGACTCTCTCTCAAAAAAAAATAAAATACATATCCTGTGATCCAGCAATTCCTTTTTTTTCTTTCTTTTTTCTTTTTTTTTTTTTTTATTTTTTGAGATGGAGTCTCGCTCCGTCACCCAGGCTGGAGTGCAGTGGCGCGATCTTGGCTCACTGCAACCTCTGCCTCCCGAGTTCAAGCAATTCTCCTCTTTCAGCCTCCTGAGTAGCTGGGATTACAGGCTCATGCCACCACCCTGGCTAATTTTTGTATTTTTAGTATATGGAGGTGGGTTTCACCATGTTGGCCAGGCAGGTCTTGAACTCCTGACCTCGAGTGATCCTCCCACCTTGGCCTCTCAAAGTGCTGGGATTATAGGTGTGAGCCACCGCGCCCAGCTGTAACCCAGCAATTCTACACCAAGAAATTTATTACAGAGGCGAAATTGAATATGCTTCCCCCATGCTTTCACTAGTTTGATAAACTTCATATTTCCAAAACTTTATAGAGTGCTTAAAAAACTACATAGGTAGGTGGCACATGCCTTAAAGTGGTAAAAGGCCACTGACAAACTATAAGAAACTCATTTTTGTACTGACATATAGGAGTAAAAGTCAACTAGGAAAATTAAGAAAAATATGAGAGGCCAGGCATGGTGGCTCATGCCTGTAATCCAATACTTTGGGAGACCGAGGCGGGTGGATCGCTTGAGTCCAGGAAATCGATAGCAGCCTGGGCAGCATGGCGAAACCCCCTTCCTACAAAAAAATAGAAAAATTATCCAGGCGTGGTGGCGCATGCCTGCAATCCCAGCTCCTGTGGGGACTGAGGTGGGAGGTTCGCTTGAGCCCAAAAGGTCGAGGCTACAGTAAGCCATGATTGGGCCACTTTGCTCCAGCCTGGGCGACAGAGCAAGACTGTCTCAAAGATGAAGCTGCAGGTCTCTGCTCACTATGGGTGATTCCAGGCCACACTTTTTTTTTTCCCTCATGCAGAATTTTCATAGAGAAACACTGTTCTCTTTCTGCTAGTCTTCCATTTGTTACCACTGTAAAATAGAAAACAGAAAATAAAATCAAAAGCTTTTGGACTTGGGAGCTTAAGGACAGATGTGTACACATTTTGGTGAAATTTGTATATAAGCACATCTTGGTTTTATTTGTTGTATATAGCACCTACCACAGGGATAGCATTTAGTAGCTCAAGGTTCATACAGCATATGATGCTGTATTCTACTGTACAACCCTTTGGCCCAGTGTTTGACCAGTCCTTATTGATAGACCAAAATCTTATGTCTTGCAGATGCTGTTGATGGAGTAATGAATGGTGAATACTACCAGGTACAGAGTACTCTGATTCTGTTCATTGATAGTGATTGAGAATCTTCCTTTCCTGTGATTTTAATTGACTGACCTAGAAAGAAACCCCAGTCCTTTGACTTTCCTGAATGTATTACTGGCTGGTGTGTTATCTACCAAAGTGGAAAGATTTAAAGAGAGGTAGCATTGATAAAAAGAGAACTGTTTAAAAATGTTATTTACCTGCCCCTAGTGTTATCACCTTTATTCTAAAGAAATCACCATTCAAATGATACTGTGTTGAGTGCAGTAAGTTAATACTAATACTTTAAATAATTCTCCTTCCATCTTTGTTTATAGTCTGATTAGGTTAACCTGGTAATATTAATATTCCTTAGTTCAGTGAGTGGCATATGGAATAATTTTGTAAAGATTAACATTTATTTGAGTCTTTTTTTTTTTTTTTTTTTTTGAGACAGTCTCACTGTCGCCCAGGCTAGAGTGCAGTGGCACGATCTTGTCTCATTGCAACCTCCACCTTCTGGGTTCAAGCGATTCATCCACTTCAGCCTCCTGAGTAGCTGGAATTACAGGCGCATGCCACCACGCCCGGCTAATTTTTTGTATTTTTAGTAGAGATGGGGTTTCGCCATGTTGGCCAGGCAGGTCTTGAACTCCTGGGCTCAAGTGACCATCCCGCCTTGGCCTCCCAAAGTGCTGGGATTACAGGCGTGAGCCACCGCACCCCGCCAGAGCCACCGCAACCTTGGCTCACTGCAGAACCCGTTTCTAACAACAATGGCGGCTTTTGTAAAATGTTAAAGGATTACCTTAAAAGCAACAACACAGGCCGGGCACGGTGGCTCACGCCTGTAATTCCAGCACTTTGGGAGGCTGGGGTGGGTGGATCATTTGAGGTCAAGAGTTCGAGACCAGCCTGGCCAACACAGTGAAACCCGTCTCTGCTAAAAATACAAAAATTAACCAGGCGGTAGTGGCATGTGCCTGTAATCCCAGCTACTGGGGAGGCTGAGGCAAGAGGAGAATTTGCTTGAACCCGGGGAGTAGAGGTTGCAGTTGGCCAAGATTGCGCCACTGCACTCCAGTCTGGGTGACAGAGTAAGACCCTGTCCCGTCCCCCCTTCCCCCACCCCAGAAAAAAAAAAAAAAAAAAGCAACCACATAGGCCAGGCGCAGGCACCTGTAATCTCAGCTACTCGGGAGGCTGAGGCAGGAGAATTGCTTGAACCCGGGAGGTGGAGGTTGCAGTGAGCCGAGATCGTGCCACTGCACTCCAGCCTTGGCGACAAGAGTGAAAACTCTGTCTCAAAAAAAAAAAAAAAAAACAGAACCAGGGGTTCTAACTCAGGTGAAGTGCATTTTAGGAAGGAATTTTTGGTATTAATATAGCACAATTGTGTTTTGTGTTAAGGAAAGTAATGGTCCAACAGACAGTTATGCAGCTATTTCACAAGTGGATCGATTGCAGTCAGAGCCTGAAAGTATCCGTAAATGGAGAGAAGAACAAATGGAACGCTTGGAAGCCCTTGGTAAGGAATCCCTTCTGTGTTTTGGTGTCTGTTTTCAGTGGAGTAGTTGAGCTGGACTCTACTTTTATTCCTTTTTAGCTCACATTAACCAGTGTCATTGTCTGGTCTTTGGGAAGATATCTTCTCAGCCTGAAGGTTACAAGGCTACCTGCACAGAGATGCCTAATCACAGGCCATTGTGTGAGGAGTAGGGTAGCCGGAGATCCCCAAGATCCTCTCACAGGAAGAGCATAGTGATGCTGCTCCTGACCTCAAGAGTAGCCTCAGGTGGTGTTTATAGAGTGCTTTATAAACTTGAAGGATTCAAGTTTCCTATGTCCGTGGACTTTAACAGTCCATTTTTCTTTTTTCTTTTTTCTTTTTTTTTTTTTGAGATGAAGTCTCACTCTGTTACCCAGGGTGGAGTGCAGTGGTGCGATCTCGGCTCATTGCAAGCTCTGCCTCCCGGGTTCACACCATTCTCCTGCCCTCAGCCTCCTGAGTAGCTGGGTCTACAGGCGCCCGCCACTACGTCCCGCTCATTTTTTTTTTGTATTTTTAGTAGAGACAGGGTTTCACCGTGTTAGCCAGGTTGGTCTCGATCTCCTGACCTTGTGATCCACACACCTTGGCCTCCTAAAATGCTGGGATTACAGGCGTGAGCCACCGCGCCCGGCCTCCATTTTTTATTTGAAGGCTAAATGAATTTAAAGTAACACGAGGAAAATGAGGTATGTTAGGAAAAAATGTACAATTTGTTTTTCCTACCTTAATATCTCTGTAAGGTAAGTTTTACAATTTTACAGGTAAGAAAAGTGGAGGAGAGGTAGAATAAGTATTTGGAATACTCAGCTAAGGAATGGTAAGAGTCACAATTTCAGCTGAAGTCTGCCTTGCTTCAAAGTCACTACCCATCCCCATCAGCCACATTGCTTTCTAAACATTTAATGTGCGTGGCCATCTAGCCACACAGCCTGGCCTTTGATAAAGAGATGTGTACGTGGAGTGTCACCTGTTGGTTCATGATCAGGGGAGACTTGTGTCTGTACATGGTGGATTGGAGAAGTATGCAGAGTGTGAGGATATAATCCACATTGTGGCCTTTTCTTTGTTTTTTCTTTTTCTTTTTTTAATCAGCTGACTTTAAGATTCATCTTTTCTCAACTTTACAGAACAATTGAAAGGAGGAAAATAAACATGTGCACCCCCAGATTCAGTAATTAATGGATTATCTTTATATAAATGATATGTTTTAGACATACACACACACAAATTGTTTTGGCTGACCTACTTTAAGATAAAGACATCATATACTTTGTGTCTAAATATTTCAATGTACACCTCCTAGAAATAATGACATTCTCCTATGTAACCACAACGTCAGCAGTATTATTCCCTCTTGGGAACTGTTGAACTAGTGAAAACATGAGTCCTTATTTTTCAGATGGGATAACTGACACCCAGAAATAGGAAGGGACATGACCCAGATGACACAGCCAATTAGTGCCAAATCATTTATCTCTCTAGTCCAATTTAGGTGGCTTTCAGAACAAAGAATGCACTTAGTATTTGAACCTTTATAGCACCATTCATTAGTGATTTCTTTGGTGGAAATATTCTGTATCTGTGCTGTCTCGTATGGTAGCCACTAACCACATGTAACTGTTAAGTACTTGAAGTGTGGCTTCACAATTCAAGTGTGACTGAGAAACTGAATTTTAAATTTTCTTTAATTTTAATAAATTTACATTGAAGTAGCCACATGTAGCTAGTAGCTACCATATTGGACAGTGGAGCTGTAGGAAGATGAAAATAGGTCCTAACAGCTTTGGTCCTTGCTTGTTCTTTGTGTCTCTTGAGTATGCTTAGAGGCAAGATTTAGCTGGTCTTAGTACTGCTGTAGTATTTTTCATGTTACAGAACCCAAATTTATCTTTTCTGTTTTACCAAGCTCTAGCAGTTTTTCTTCTCCATGGAGAGAGTCTACTTTGGTGTCTGGAAAGATTTAATTTTTCAATTATGAAATTGGGTACTTGGGGAATACTCTTATGAGCTGTTTTCTTAATTCAAAGTGCTTTTTTTGAGAGAAGTACAACATTTGGCCTTGCATTCCAACTGAATTGAATTCACTTGGTTCATGAACAAGGTGTTCCTTCAATTTCACCTTTTTTCCTTGCAAAAACTGTGAGAAAGCACGCGATGCTAAAAATAGAGAACCGGTGCCAGTGGTTTTCAGCCTAGCTGCTGGCTACATTCTCAAGTAATTTTCTTTTCTCTGACCAGTAACGAGGGTGGCCAGAAGGGAAGGCACCTGTGAATGTGCTTTGCTCTCTAAGGGGACTCTTCCTCTTCATCCTCTGAGGGGAAGAATTCTAAATTAGTATTGCAGTGGCACTAAAGCTGCAAAAGCCAGAAGACCAATTTAAATGTACTATTTTATGCAGTAACCACAGTCTGTTCAGGAGGTCACCATTTTTATTTAATTTCATTTTTCAGAGATAAATTTTATATTTTAGTCCTAATGTATAGTAAATGTTAACATCAAAATACATTGAAAGAAAATACTGTCCAATCAAAAAGGTAATTATTTGGAAGTAATTTCACCATGATTGAAAAGGGGGCCTTACATTTTGAATTAGGTATTGTCACATGGCACTTCCAGCCCACAGCTTCTCATTGCAGCATAGCTAAATCTTGCATTCCACATCTGTACTTCATGCCATGGATAGACACATATTAGATGTTTACTGTAGAGGCTAGGTGGTGTGGCTCAGGTCTGTAATCCCAGCACTTTAGGAGGCTGAGGTGGGAGGATCACTTGAGCTCAGGAGTTCAAGACCAGCCTGGGCACCATAGTGAGACCCTATCTCTACTAAAAAAAAAAAATTAGCTGGGGGTTGTGGTGCACGCTTGTGGTCCCAGCTGCTTAGGAGATTGAGGTGGGAGGATCACTTGAGCCTGGGAGATTGAGGCTGCAGTGAGCTGTGATAGAACTACTGCAGTACAGCCTGGGCTACAGAGCGAGACCCTATCTCAAATAAAACAAAAAAAAGTTTACTGTATATACTTTAGAGTCATCAGTGAAAAATCTGAGAAAATGATTCTTCTGAACGACAGATCACCTTCCGACAAATTAGATACCGAGATGAACGTTCCTACTAACCTGAAACTTGGGGGAGTTTCTAGCTGCTATTAGGCTTTTTCTTATAGTTACACACAGCCTTTTGCAGGTTGTTACTATAAGACCTTTCTTGCAAAGGCCCTAAAAATGCCCAAGAATACTTCATTTTTCATCCCTTCTAGTAGTTACTTGACACCGCTACTGCTATCTACTCTCCTTCTCAAAGACACTAATTACAGTTTGGGCTCTTGGTCTGCACTTTCAAAACTCTGTCCAGATCACTGGTGGTCACGTTTTGTGATTATTTCTAGGCTTGCCTCCCTTTCTGTCCCTCCCTTTGGAGGAAGCATAATGAGGTAAGCAAAGTGTAAGCTTTACAGCCAGATCTGGGTTTGAATCTTGGCTCTGTCACTTACTATAACCTTTAGGAAATTCACTCAAACTTTCTGAGCTTTAGTTTTTCTCACTGCTGAAAATGTGATCAGAGTTTACCTTCTTGGGATTGTTGTAAAGATTGAGTTAGATGTCTATAAAACACCTGCCAGACAGAAGAACTTGTTTAAAGTGAAGTATCAGGTTAACTTCAAGTGTCAGCTGCCTCAGTAGCTATGACATGTATTTCTTTTTTTTTTTTTTCTTTTTTGAGACAGAGTCTCACTTTGTTGCCTAGGCTGGAGTGCAGTGGTGCGATCTCAGCTCACTGCAACCTCTGCCTCCCAGATTCAAGCGATTCTCCTGCCTCAGCCTCCCCAGTAATCCCCAGTAGCTGGGATTATAGGCATGCACCACCACATCCAGCTAATTTTTTGTATTTTTAGTAGAGACGGGATTTTACCATGTTGGCCAGGCTGGTCTCGAACTCCTAACCTCAGATGATCCACCTGCCTCGGCCTCCCAAAGTGTTGGGATTACAGGCGTGAGCCACCACAAGCAGCCGGCATGTATTTCTTTATCTCTCACTATCTACTGATGTATGTCTCTTCAGCTTAGTGTCTTAGAGAAAACCATATTTAGTCCTCAGAAACTTCATGTTTCATGTTTGAGAATCCAATCTAGCAAACCTGCTAGGTATGCATTTTCTTGCTGTCATTTCTAGAACCTTTAGGTTAACTGTTAGCAATGATCCCATACCTCTACCCCCTGCACTTCTCTCCAGTGGAGTTTCTTTTGTAGCTCTGCCCTGGCTCTGCCACAAACACACTGCAGACCAAGTAGGAGTAGATGCTTTGTGGTCCTCTCTAGTGCTAATATTCTGTGTTCTATCATTCTCTGGTTCCTGAATCATCTCTACCTTTGGTAATTGTCCTAATAGCACCCTGCCTCACAGAAGTGCTTCTACCATATTTAGTTATGAGAGTGCCACCTTGTGTTCCACAAAACCATTGTCAAACCTGGAATATGGACTAGTTTGGGAGAAGAGGTAAAAGATTAAGATGAATACCCTACTATGAACTAATATTGGCAGCATTGGTAAAGAATCATCTATAATTGTTTCTCCCCCAATTGGTGCCCAGAAGGCTTTTTTCCTATTAATAATAGAAGTCAGTATTTCCACATACACCCTTCTCTTTTGCTCTGCCCAAAACAAGACAAAACAAAACTAATGACCCACTAAGATGTCAGTGGACTGGGATAAGACCAGGAATAGGACTGTGGGAAAGACCAGGCAGGAATAGAAGCACTGAAATCAGAGTTGGTTGTGCAAACAGAGAAAACAGAAGTTTATCTTCCCCTCTCTACTCTTCTCCCCCAACAGGCACACAGACATGGACCTGCACCCACCACAAGTTCAGCAAGACCAAAATAAACTGATGAACTTCAGTTTGCACTTTGCCTCAATTGTATTGTCTTTCTCTTCTCTCCCTTCAAAGATGCCAATTCTCGGAAGCAAGAAGCAGAGTGGAAAGAAAAGGCAATAAAGGAGCTAGAAGAATGGTATGCAAGACAGGACGAGCAGCTACAGAAAACAAAAGCAAACAACAGGTCAGTCCGTGGTGGTTGTAGCACACTTTGTTTTCCAAAATTGAATCAAATCCATTCTCAGCATCCAGTCTCGGTTTTTGGCTTCTGCCTCCTTTAGTGTGAAATGTCTGCAGTTTTTAAAGAAAGTGCTTGAAACAGGTTGCAAGTCTCTCGGGTCTTGTGAGCATAATTCACCCTATTGTTTAGCCATCCCAATTGTAGTGAGCTTAGCTCTCTGAGAGTTTGGTTAATATGCATAACCTGTAATGGTGTGATTCAGCCAAGGGAAAAGTTACTTTCCATGGAACCCTGAAACGAAAGCTGGGTGTCATGAATACACCCAGATCTAGTTACTTTGGATATGATTATAGACTTGGTCATGTTGAGTCTCCTCAATATAGCCCTGCCCCCTGAAAGCCACTTCATGAAGGGGTCCGTTGGCAGGAATATGTGCTTTGTAATTAGGCAGCCAAGGATGTTCCAACATGATTATTTTAGAATTGAGGGTTCTGTGGGTACTTATTTGTGCCTTAAAAAGTCTTGAATTGACTTCTTAAAAATGTTCTGTTTGAAATAGATTTTATTTAGTTACTGATGGTTAAGGAGTTGTGAGGAGAAAAACGCTTTCATTCTCATATCACTACTCACCAGCAGCTGGGCTTTAATGCCCTACACTTAGAGCCCTTCTTGGAAGCAGCAAAGAGAGGATATGTGGTGTTGCTTCCCTCAGGGCAGGCAGGTTCAGAGCCCAACTTTCACTGAATAGTCAATCCATTCACTTCAGTGTATAAACGGGCCAGACCGAGCCTGGGGATATTTTTAATTTTCAGGGTAGAGCCTTGGGTTCTCGTATGCAGAGGCAGGAAGCAGGTTGGGTTAAGTGCCCTTGTCTCTGGCAGCTCTGTTAGACAGAGATGTGGCAGGAGAGAGAGCTAACGGCTTTGCCAGCCAGCCAGTGCTATTGTGGGTCCAGTATGACAGAGCAGTTGGACTCTCTTTTATATGCTAGCAGCCCTTCAGCTCATTGGATTCCGGCTTGAGCCTGTGTCCTGGTCACTTTCCTCTGGGGGCGGTGTGCTCAAGGAGTGCCTGTCAGGTTCCATGTGGAGTCCACAGGACTCCACAGTCCCAGTCCCACAGGACTGCTCTCTGGTGTGCAGGCTGGGTTGCCAGTGGTGATGGCTTCCATCAGCTACGTGGGGCTGTTGTTGAGCCTGTGGTCAGTAGGTGGTGCTGACAGGTCCAGGCTCCTGTGTCCTCTGCTCCCTCAAGATGATTTTCTCCCAGGTGGAAGTTCAGATCGGTAAAGCCGAGTGGGGACTGTGTGCAAGCACCCTGCGAGCCCTGAGAACTCCCCCAGCCTGCGACCCCAGCATTTAAGTTTAGTCTGAAGTACTGTAGCTGTGCCGACCCTCCCCGCTCTGGGTCTGTGATGCGTCAATAACTTAACACAAGTTTTCAAACTTAGATAATGAATATGTTGGTAACAGCCTTTCTGTTGCAGAAATTTTTTTCAAGGAAGTTTTGCTGAACTGTCAAGAAAGGGATATTCTCTGTATACAGAATCCGTTGTTCTCAGAGGGAGTAATGACACCTGTTTTTTTTTTTTTTTTTTTTTTGAGATGGAGTCTTGCTCTGTTGCCCAGGCTGGAGTGCGGTGGTGCGATCTCGGCTCACTGCAAGCTCCACCTCCTGGATTCACGCCATTCTCCTGCCTCAGCCTCCCGAGTAGCTGGGACTACAGGTGCCCGCCACCATGCCCAGCTAATTTTTTTCTGTTTTTAGTAGAAACAAGGTTTCACTGTGTTAGCCAGGATGGTCTCGATCTCCTGACCTCGTGATCTGCCTTCCTTGGCCTCCCAAAGTGCTGGGATTACAGGCGTGAGCCACCGCGCCTGGCCATGACACCTGTTTTTAGGAGCTCAGTCTTAAAAGTTTAGTCCCTCCAGGCATTGAATTTGGGCCTTGGTACCTTTCTGTACTTGGAACTGTAGAATGCTGGGTAAGCTGGTCTCACAGATGAACCTCTTAAGTTCCAGAGAGAAGGAACTTCCCCACTGCTCACTGAGAATGTAGAGCTGCTTAGGAAGCAGGTCACTTGCCTTGTGGGAACCTTGCAGCACAGGGCTGACTCTTGAGAGCATAACGCTAGTGGCACACTAGCCATTGTCACCAGGGCTCTAGGACAGAAGAGATGGTTTTTACAGTTTATTCCAGTGATTCTTCACTGGTTGGAGGTGGGATCCATTTGAGAGTCACTTTGGGGGACTTCTTCCAAGGGTCTACACCCTCCCCTGGAGATTTTTATATTGCTGACTACTCCCCCTCTCCATCCATGTTTGACTCTAAACTTTAGAGTTCAAAGGAATAGGTCCCATTTAGATGTATAAAGTAATTCATCCTTGTTATCTGTCTATGGGTAAAGAGTGAATATTTTTAGAAAAGAAAATGGGGGCCGGACACCGTGACTCAACATCTGTAATTCCAGCACATTGGGAGGCTGAGGCGGGCAGATCACTTGAGGTCAGGAGTTTGAGACCAGCCTGCCCAACATGGTGAAACCCCATCTCTACTAAAAATGCGAAAATTAACTGGGTGTGGTGGTGTGTGCCTGTAATCCCAGCAACTCGGGAGTCTGAGGCAGGAGAATCACTAGAACCCGGGAGGCAGAGGTTGCAGTGAGCTGAGATTGCGCCACTGCACTCCAGCCTGGGCAACAGAGCGAGACTCAGTCTGAAAAAAAGAAAAGAAAAAAGAAAACGGGGTGCTCATTTCAAGCAAGTATGATTCTCTCTGGGTGACTTCTGCAGTAGCTAGATGTTAAGGGGACCCGAGAGATAAGGCAGAAAGATGAGAAGTTTGAAAGAGGAAAGTCGGAGACAGGAAGGGCATCCAGTTAATTGTGAGAGCATCCTCAGGCCTCCTGCCTTCCAGCTGCCTCACCACTGGGTCACCAAAGCACTAGGAGCACGTCGCGCCTGGCACTGCACTGGGGGTGGGTGTGCTGTACTCTATTGTCAGTCCCCAGACTGCATCTCCCTTCTTTTATCCCAAGTTGAGGCCTAAGTGTCACAGTACAAGAGCTGTGAATTATTCAGTGACAGCCATGGAAAAGAATTTCCTTTTCATAGCCAGCCAGCCAGAGCAGTGACTGACTCCTGCAGCTGGATGAGTTTGCTCATCAAGAACAACCCCAGAACATTTCCCCTATTACAGGTAGCACTTGTGCTTGTCAGCTCTTTCAAGGCTTGAGAAGGTTTGGGGAACCCACAGTTCTCAGAGATGGCAAACATTTTTTTCTGTGCCCACTTTGAGGCTGTTTATGGAATGAAGTTCTGCATTGTATTCGTGCCTCCAGAGCTTGTCCTAGGTCAGGTATTCCTCTTCCCTCCCCTCTCCTAAGCCTCCCTGAGCCCCTTCCTGCCTTGGCTGAGGATTGCTACTTTCAAGTGAAGGACAAATAAGGGGAGGGCCACCTGTGTGTGTGTCTGATTTTCTGTTTGTTCTGGGCCTGCAACCTTGACAGGGGATGTGCTTGTCACTGAGGAGCTCTTTGGTCTTGGGCTAGCTGCAAAGGAGCAAGAGCCTGACATTCAAACTTTTGTTGTCTTAGTGATGATTTGACAGGAGTCATGAAACCTCTACTCTTCTTGTGGAGGGAAACCCAAGTTGAAATCGATCAGGTTTAGTCCTTTGTGTAAACTAAAAGGGTTATGGGTTTATAAGCCAGCCTGCCTTGCCTTTTCCTCCCACTCATTCTGCCCACAAACAACTCTGTTTTCCTGCTGAGTCACTTTAAGTTATAATCAGCCTGCTCTTTTTGCTTTCTTTAAATTTCCACAAAACACCTCCTGTGTATAAAACAAAATGGGAAAGAAGGAAGGGCATGTGTGAGCTTAAAAATTAACTTAAAATTACTAGAATTTGCCTTCAAATAAGTATGTGAGGTTAGCTTAATGACCAGGCATGATTATCCTTGAAAAATGTCTTTCCCCTTGCCCACCCCAAATCGACTTGACAAAGGACAGGGTAAGACTCCATGAGGGAGGTTCCATGTCCAGCCACAGTGGAGAAGAGTGGGCTGGCAGAGCCCAGGGAGTCAGTCCAGGACAACAGAGTCAAAGCCAGCCTGGCCCCTGCTGTCAAAATTTATCCACCCAGTCTGCCCCCTCCTTCCTGTCTGAGAGCCCTGCCATGTTGAGAGTTAAGAAGGGATGAAGTTCTGGATTCTGGGCTGCACCTTATCAAAGCCAATTGAGTCTGGTGTAAAAATATTCAGAAACTGTACCCGCTTCTTGAGTAGAGAGAGAGCCATATTCAGGAACAACAGAAGCCAGGGCCAGGATCCTAGTCCAGTGTTCTTCCCACCAGACCACTCACCTCCAGCCGTTTTTTCCTGTAAGGTTGAGATTTTAAAATGACGATATGTGTTCCCAGGATTCTGGAAGTGTATCCCACCCAGACAGTGTGGGGAAGCAGTAGTTAGATAATCCAAGATAAAACTGGCTTTGGGTCCTAGCGCATCTGGTGTCTGGCAGCATTCCTGCCCAGTGCATTAACTGAAACAGGAAGGTGGCGTGGCTTTCTGGGCACATACAGCAGGGAAGAAGCATGACTATACAGTAGAAAGAGCCCTGGACTTAGGGCCAGGCTGCCTTGGTTGTGAGTCCTGAATGCTGCCACTGTGGTGTAGCTGAGCAAGTTGTTCATCTCTAAGCCTCAGTTACCTCATCTGTACAGTGGGGGTGAGAACAGTCAGGGTCATAGGTTGTTAACAGTTAAGGATTGAATCAACATAATGTATGTGAAAGGGCTTAGTCCATGATTGGGTGCTTAATAAATGCCCGTGTTGCTGGGGTGAGCCAAAGGGATGAAGTTGGCAGTGCTTGCTCTGTCGTGGAGCAGTCCCCACGTGGGAAGGCCAGCGGGAAACCAGGCCTGCTGAAGTCTCCAGCGCTGGAAGCCTCACGGGGGTTAGGAAGGAGCCTTGGGAGCAGCTCCTCAGAGCACAGTTGTACCTCAATTGTGGATTTTAGATGTTTCTGCTTCTCAATGTTCTCTCTTTTTTCCTGCCTGCTTGCCTGCCTTTTGGACCTCTTGCTGTCTAGGGTGGCAGATGAAGCTTTCTACAAACAACCCTTCGCTGACGTGATTGGTTATGTGTATGTTGCAAAACTAATTCCTTTTTCTACATCTGATTCTTTCTACTTTTGTTTAGAGTTAATGCTCCTTTTATGTCACAAGTTGCTTTGCTTTTTAAATTATTTCAAATTGGCACTTTGGGGGCTGCCTAAGAATTGATAAGCGGGGTATGATCTGTTGATGAATCTTCCAGATTTGTGACTCCCTGCATCCTCTGATGGCCATTTTTCATATTTGGGGTTTTGGAGGGAAGAAAGCTAACTCGCTTTCAAAATGTGTCATTTGCGATCTTATCTGGGAACGGTTTGAGGCTCGGGGGAACTCTGCTCTCTTGCTCTTGGCTGCCATCACTGCTGCCATGCCCTGTTGCCTGCCTGCCTCAGGTGGGAAGGAGGTTTCCCCACCTGGGAGCAGGTGGCAGTCCCAGGAGGTTAGGAGCCAGTGAGCAGCAGCACCTTGCATTGCCAAAATCAGAGCTGTGGGGCAGCATTTTCCATACTTGGTTCATTCAAACAATGTGGGGTCGTTTGCCTCTCCCTCAGGCAGAAGAGTCCAGAGCAGAGGGGGTTGTCTCCAGTGGGTGTCTATAATTGTTCCTCTGTGGTCTTGCATGTCAGAAATTGCTATTTAGTGGTCAGCTTCTGATGTCCTGTCTCCTAGCACAGGGAAGCCCCCAGCTTTGAGATCAGGATAGTCAAAGTGTCTTGATACGGGCCACTTGGGCTTCTCCCCCTGACCCCCCCAAAAGAAACCTGCATCTTCTCTGGAGAAGGTGTTTTTCTTATTCTTTTTTTTTTCTTTTTTTCTTTTTTCTTTTTTTTAAGGATTTCTTTTATCAAAGCAGTATTGCTGAAGAGTTGGAAACAGTTCTCATTGTCTCCTCCTTAAAAATTAGGGCTGGCTTTACATGAGAAGTAAGGGTGGAATGGAAGAGGAGAGGAACCTGTGGAAGGTGGGCGATGAGCTCAGGTCTGTAGAGCCTCTCAGGGCCTATGACCTTGAGATGTTCATCCCCTTAGAAGATAGAACTGGGTTTCCTGGGCCCCCAGATGCATTTGCAGTGAGACTTGTGAAATGCTGGACTTACAGGTGGTGTTTGATTTGATTTCTGCACATTCTCTCTGGAGTAGAAATGGAGACTGGAAAGGTCGAGTCTGGTTTTGCTGGGCAGCTGGGTGGCCAGCAAAGCCAGCTGCACGTCCCCAAGCACAGATAGAGTGGCAAGGGCATGTCCAGCTTACTGACCATCTGCATTGAGCTCATTCTCATTTTCTATATCTGACTTAAAGTTTCTCTCGTTTCTTTTCTTCTCTTCACCTTTAAGCACAAACATAAACCATCCTTGCTACAGCCTAGAACAGTTAAGTAAACCTTTCTCACTGCCCCTAACTGTGTGTGCCATGAAGTCGCAGTGTTGTAGTGGCTCTGGGCTTCAGCGGTGTTTGCCACGGCCATCCCTGTGATAGTGCCACCCCTCCGTCCCCACAGACCAGTCATCTCCATTGCTTTTGCTTTGCCCGTGATGCTTGTTGGAGTAGATGAATATAGTGTGTCTTAGCGCTGTCCTTTCCGGCTGTAGCTCCCACCAGTTAATTCCGAACTGGGGGTGGGCTGACCTTGATGTGAAAGAATGTTGGAGCAGCATCCTGCCAAAAAGCAACTCACGTTGGCTCTCCTGCCAGTGTGCCCTGAGTGGCCCCAAGGCACCTGGCTGGAGGGAAAATGGCAAACTTTTGGCTGAACTGGAGAATGTCCTAACAAACCCCCTTCCAGAATGGCTTTAGTCTCTAGTGCTTGCTAGCATGGGAGCTTTGTCTTGAATTCCTTTTGATCTGCCCCGTTTCTCTCCAGCCTTAGGAATAAATCTAGAGGCTATTGTGCAATGATCTGTGGGCTTTTTAGAAGTCTCTAAATTTCCTTGAAATTCAGTACAGCCCAGCATAAACTACTCAAGTTCTTGATCAGCCTGCTGCTTTGTTCTTATTAATAAAAGCAGTGTGTAGCTGGCTAAGGACTTGTTTTATTAATGCTCCACAGGAGCAGAGACAGACAGAGAGACATAGTGAGCCTTGAACCAAACACCTGTATTCCAACATTTTACACAGCGGTCTGGGCACCCTGTGCCTAGGAGAGCCAGCTACGTGTCTACCTGAGTCTGACCTGGGCCAGGGGCTGTTATCTTGGGAAAGCCAGAATGTCATTAAGAAAGGGACAAATAGGCAGTTGCTTGTGTAGCAAGGCAGCCACCAGGTTGCTCAAAGGGGGTTCTGCATAAACCAACATATTTTGTTGTTGCTTCCAGGGCAGCAGAAGAAGCCTTTGTAAATGACATTGACGAGTCGTCCCCAGGCACTGAGTGGGAACGGGTGGCCCGGCTGTGTGACTTTAACCCCAAGTCTAGCAAGCAGGCCAAAGATGTCTCCCGCATGCGCTCAGTCCTCATCTCCCTCAAGCAGGCCCCGCTGGTGCACTGAAGAGCCACCCTGTGGAAACACTACATCTGCAATATCTTAATCCTACTCAGTGAAGCTCTTCACAGTCATTGGATTAATTATGTTGAGTTCTTTTGGACCAAACCTTTTTGTCTTTAGAGTTGTTCATTGTTTGTGATTGCATGTTTCCTTCCTTCAACTGTGTTCTCCCTGGCATTCAGAGAGGAGGGAGAGGAGGAAGAGGAAGGGGAGGGAAGCTTCCCAAGAGTAGCCTCAACCTGTGCTTCTGTGCATTATTCTGAGAATAAATTTCTGTTTCAAACTGTATTATGTGAAGCTTCTTTATTGACCTCAAGATGTGTTGTAGTTTGGAGTGAGGTTGGAAGGAATTTCCAGGAGGAATTTCCTTGAAATTTCTAGGGCTGAGGAGGCACAGCCACTGGGCACACAGCCCTGCCTTGAACTAAGATAGCACCGGGATCTAGAGTGGGATCCTGTGGACATTTTCATTTGAGAAGGGAGTTTAGTGGCTGAAGGTTAACCCCCTCATTATCTACCTAAGACACAGCTGTGAATCCTCTCACCAACCTAGTCGTTTTCTCCCAGATGGGCTCTTGCTTGCCAGTGTCCCTCAGTTTAGGGTCTTGGATAGTATATTTCGGCAGGAGTCTGTGGGGCACGTAGACTCTAGTAAGACCTTGACTCCTTTGGATCCGGCCAGTAAGCCTGAGTCAGGACGGCATTCATGTGTGGCTAGCCCCATTACTGTTGAGTCCTGTAGCACATGTTGGGTTCTGTGCCATCCCAAGCACTTGGTTCATATTTCTCTTGTAAAATCCTTCATCTAGACCTGTGCTGTCCAGTGCAGTATTCACCAGGCCCATGTGGCTATTTAAATGAATTTAAAATACATTTCTAGTCCTAGTCACAATTCATGTGCTCAGTAGCCATATGTGGTTAGGTGGCACTCGGATAGCACAGGTTATAGAACATGTCCATGGTCGCAGAAAGCTGCACTGGACCATGCTGATCTACCACAGGTGTTTCCAGGAGCCCGTGCTTTGTTCAGACACCAGTAAGTTCATTATCTGTCTTCAGAACCTGGCATAGTACCTGGCTCGTTTTAGGTGATGTTCCAAGCAATTATTAAAGCTATATTTCAGTAATCTGCTTATAACTACCTGGTACTTCCAAACTGGAGATTGAGGTAAACTGTAATACTATGCTCAGGATGGGGGTTAGGTGTTGCCATTGCCAAGAAGGAAAGGCCACTATCTCTTCAATGTTAATTATTTTTGGCTGGAAGGAGCTTTCATTACTTTTCCTGCTACCTCCCCGTTTCCAAGCTTAGTTGGGCTTTCCTTGACCTGGCCCACATTTCTGGCCTCTGCTTATTCCTCCCCCTTTAGTCAAATCTTATTACAATCAAGCAATCATTGTTCCCAGACTTTTGTTCCTACGGGACCTGCTAATCCCATTCCAAATGTCAAAATCCAATTTAAGAACTAGTTCAAAGGCCACCCCCCTTCCCCTGAACTCCCATGGCCATCTACCTGGGGCAGCTTATTTTTGGTAGTCTTGGTGCCATCGTCTGGACCAGTCTTGCCTCCCACACCAGCTGGGCTTCTTGAGGTGGGAGGTGGCAATTTTAAATGTCAACAAAATCTGTGACATTCTCTAGATGGAGAGGTGACTGAATAATGTGACAAAAGTGATGCTGGGATGACTTCCAAGGCTAGGTCATAAAAGGCAGTGCTGCTGATGGTTGATTTGTTGGAGCAACTAGCTGGTGGCCCTGAGCCGCCTCATAAAAAATTCTACCTTTGAAGCTACCCATGTGGTGAGGAAGCCCAAACTAGCCCACAGAGAGGCCACCTGAGAGACCCTGTAACCACACACATTGGGAGATGCCTGGCCAGCCAGCCTCGTGCTATTCCAGCTGACAACTACAAGTGCAGGATACTCTTGAGCTACAACTGTCAAGTTTGAGCCTTTCCCAAATCCTGACCCACAGAAACCACGACGTGAAACAATTACTGTTGTTTTAAGCTCTTCAGTTTTGAGGTTACACAGCAATAGTAATTTGGGATTGTTTCTAATGCCTGTATGAGACCCACATAGGGCCTCATAAAAAGAGGGAGTGGGTCTAGGGACTCAGTAAATGCTTAACACTTAGTTTCAAACCTCTTTCTTGGGGGCTACTTTGCTTTTTTATGCCAAATTTTCAATGTTATATATAGCAATGTTTTGTTTTTGTTGTTTTTGAGACAGGGTCTCACTGTGTCGCCCAGGCTAGAGTGCAATGGCATGATCATAACTAACTTACTGCAGCCTCCACTTCCCGGGCTCAGGTGATCCTCCCACCTCAGCCTCCTGAGTAGCTGAGACTGCACCATGCCTGGCTAATTTTTTTTGTATTGTTTTGTAGAGATGGGGTTTTGGCATGTTGCCCAGGCTGGTCTCGAACTCTAGGGTTCAAGCAATCTTTCTGCCTCAGCCTCCCAAAGTGCTGGGATTACAGGCATGAGGCACCATGCCCAGCCATGCTTTCTATTAATAGACTTTTTTTGGTTAAGAAAGCAATGATATTAGAGGCCTTAAGGAAGTTATATAACCTTCAAAACGTAAGCAGTGCAACAATTAAATCTCTTCTGGGAAGGAAAATGCTTTTGGCTAATGAGTTACGAACAAAACAAAATACAACAGGATTTCAACAAGGAAATGTATTTATTTTTTCTTTAGAATTTGGCTCAGAACAGTAACAAAAATATTTACATTAAAATAAATTAACATGCAATTACTTAACCATATGTAATAATTTACGTTGGAATATATTAGCCTTCCCATGAGTTTAATAAAAACTAATATTTGGTTTTAGATTCAATACCATCCTTTCAAATATTTGGTATGAAACTTGGTAGCAATGCAATTGTCTGATGTACAGAGCAGATTTCACCATGAGAGATTACACCAAAGAACAGATGTCCCTTCCCAGAACATTATCTCACCCCAGACTCAGAAACTGAGCAGCCAAGCTTCCTTCCCAGGAATCACCATGGAATGTCTGAACAATAACCAGGCCCTGGAGATTACTGCAGGGCTGGCAGAGTTTTAGGAATCAGCCAAACTCTTTTTCACACTAACCCACTAGGAAGGATATAGTTCAAATGTAATGTTGAGTCCTTCAGTTTATTTGAACACTGAAACAATATGTTGTAGAAACCTTCATTTTCCCAAAATAGAAATCTGAAAGATATATGCACATGATTTCTTAGATCATCTAAAAGTACCCATAAAAACCTGTCACTAGGGCCAGGTGTGATGGCTTACACCTGTAATCCCAGCACTTTGGGAGGCAGAGGCGGGCGGATCACCTGAGGTCAGGAGTTCAAGACCAGCCTGGCCAACATGGTGAAACCCTGTCTACTAAAAATACAAAAAAAAATCAGCCGGGCGTGGTGCATGTGCCTGTAATCCCAGCTACTCAAGAGGCTGAGGCAGGAGAATCACTTGAACTTGGGGGGCAGAGGTTGCATTGAGCCACTGCACTCCAGCCTGGGTGACAGAGTGAGACCCGTCTCAAAAAAATAGAACACCTGTCACTAGACCAAATACTATACTGGTAAAATTTCACAGCAGAGAGGAATATTTCATTAAATTCAGCTGATAGGGTCAAGGATACATTAAGTCATTTACAAATCAGATATTAGTATTAAAGTTTTTGGTGGCCTAGAGTGAATTAGAATATGTTAGCATTTTGAAAGTGTTTTTGAAATGAGAGGTTGTGTGGCTCAGCAGCAAAAGCACAGAGGGACCTGGGATCAAACCCTCTCTCTAGCCCCATAGCTTAACAGTCAAACACACCAAGTTCTATAAAATAAAAATTAAAACACCTACCTCATATGTTGAGATAATTTAGGATAATGTATATGAAGCACCTAGTTCAGAGCCTGGCACACAGTAGGCACTTAATAAGTGGTGGCAGTTAGTATTTCTTCCAAGTTAACAATTCATAGCCAGAACTTTGGCTTTTGTATTTTGACACCAATGAAAACACGAATCATGTAGACAGAATCCTGATTCATGGCTCTGGGCTCTAGGTAAAACTCAAAACTTTAATGGACACCCTAGGGTGTTACTCAACACAGTATGAAAGGCTACTGAAGGAAGAAGTGTCTGCTGGTCAGTAGCAAAGATCCTTTTGGGACAGTTAATCTCCTTTTAAAGGCTCTAAGTCCCAGTGGCTTCTCAGCTGTCCTAAGAAGATAAGGACAAGGTCACTAAGGCCACTGTAATTTAGATCCCTGGTCTAAAGTCTCTTGTAAGTTCAGCTAGAGTAATAACATCTTTCAACAAATGGTATCCAGGATTAGGGGGGATATCTGAGATGGGGGAGTGATAGATATGTCCAGTGTCTTGATTGTGGTGATGCTTTCACAGGTATACATATGTCAAGGCTTATCAAATTGTAGGCTTTAAAAACAATAAAGCTGTTTTAAAAAAAAGTGTACTTAAGCCCTTCCTGGTAAGATTTCCCTCTGTTCTCTGACTGGATCACCTTCTGTGATCTTAGTTTGGGGTTAGAGGAGGAAGGATGTGTGTGTGTGTGTGTGTGTGTGTGTAGACGGAGTCTCGCTCTGTCACCCAGGGTGGAGTGCAGTGGCATGATCTCGGCTCACTGCAACCTCCGCCTCCCGGGTTCAAGCAATTCTCCTGCCTCAGCCTCCCGAGTAGCTGGGACTACAGGCACATGCCACCACGCCCGGCTAATTTTTGTATTTTAGTAGAGATGGGGTTTCACCATGTTGGCCAGGCTGGTCTTGAACTCCTGACCTCAGGTGATCCGCCCATCTCGGCCTCCCAAAATGTTGGGATTACAGGCGTGAGCCACTGCGCCCAGCTGGAAGGATTATTATTATTATTATTATTATTATTATTATTTATTATTATTATTTTTGAGATGGAGTCTTGCTCTGTCACCCAGGCTGGAGTGCAGTGGTGCGGTCTCAGTTCACTGCCAGCTCCGCCTCCCTGGTTCATGCCATTCTCCTGCCTCAGCCTCCCGAGTAGCTGGGACCCGCCACCACACCCAGCTAATTTTTTGTATTTTTAGTAGAGACGGGGTTTCACCATGTTTCACCATGTTAGCCAGGGCGGTCTCGATCTCCTGACCTCGTGATCCGCCCGCCTCGGCCTCCCAAAGTGCTGGGATTACAGGCGTGAGCCACTGTGCCCGGCCTGGAAGGATTATTAATGCAAACTTCAGGATGAAGTGATATCCCAGGCAAGGCCTGAAGGTCTCAGTGGTATTAATACATTAGTAAGCAGAGTTCTAAGAAGGCTTCCTCTCTATTATTGTAGCTGCTTTGGCACAGAAAATTGTGACTGTAACTTACAGGGTTTGAGCTAAAATGACCCCTAGTAAGAAGACATCAGAAAGAATAGCATCTACAAAAATAGGAGTGGGGAAAGGTGACTCTGGAAGAGGAGACCAAAAGTGAAAACATTTCTCTGCCAAAGTCACCTGCAGTTCAATACCAGATTTGATTGTTAAGAAACGGTCATCCTAAAGACAAGAACTTGATTCCACTCAGGAGCTCTGGAGAGAAGGTCCATGTCTGTTCCTGGAGGTCTAGTAGATCCTGCGTGTTGTGTAGTCCAGAACCATGCTGGCAGCACCCAGCAGGGCGGGGTCAACCAAATCCGAAACCACCACATCCACGTCCTGCACGGAGGACAAGGCCTGCTGGCGAATGACGTCTTTGACAATGTGGATATAGTGACTGGCCAGGACTCCGGAGAGGATCACAAGGGAGGGATTCATGGTATGGAGGATGTTCACAACCCCAAGACCCAAAGCTGTTCCAGCTATAGGGAGACAAAAATTAAAATGAGTTTCTGAGAGAAGCCAAAATCAAAATACCAAAGAGGAAGGCAGAAAAGAGCCAGCAGCAGAAATGTTAAAGAACATCCACGGCATGCAGTGGGAGGCAGTGTTTTAAAAGCAGTTCACGGTTGATTCTT
The DNA here is from genome assembly GCF_000001405.40 of Homo sapiens. NCBI lineage: Eukaryota > Metazoa > Chordata > Mammalia > Primates > Hominidae > Homo > Homo sapiens. The sequence continues at coordinate 36,217,757 of NC_000009.12, forward strand.
AATATGAGAAAATGATCATGTGACAGCCTCAAGTGGAAAAAGCCGGGTGTACCACATGATCTCCACTAGGCAAAAAAATGAATAGAAAGACTCGAAGGAAATGTTAATAGTTGATACCTCCAAATGGGAAAACTAAGTGATATTTTTTCTTACAACTGTCCTATATTTCTCTAAATTTCCTGTAAAATGAAAGGAGCATTTTTATAGTTGTCAAACCAAACCAACCACCTGCTGAAAAAGGCAATGCTGCCAAATACCTTGAATCCAATTCCCTTTTTACCTCTGAGTAATTAGGAAAGAAACCTCTGAACAGACACTGCAAAGCACCTGTCCCTAGGGAAGCAGGGTCTCTTCTGGGGCCGGGCTGGGCCATATGATATCTGAGGCCACCCCCTGCAGCACAGCCACCTGCAGCCACATGCTCACCTGTTCTTAGGATGCTCTGGGCCTTCGCATTGCCAAGTTTCGCAGCTTGGATGAGATGGAGCGCACCCACAGCCTCATCTTTTGGCACTGACATCCCTTCCACCAAGAGCAGGTCCTCTGAACAGAGTGAGAAGGAAAAGCAGTCACTAATGAGCTGTGGGGAGGCCAAGCTCACCACTGGGCCTGTGGAAAGCAAGCCCCTACATGGGAAGACGGTGTTTTCTTTTCACAATTGCAAAGCTTATCGTTCACAAACATCTCTATACACTGCCCCTAAAGCCTTTGCTACCCTCTTGCTAATTGGTTGTACATAACCCAGAACCTATCTTCCTGGAAAAACCTCAAGTCTGACGACAGCCTCCTACCCCTCTGGCTCCCTCACTTCTCACTTCCAGTAGCAGACAGTCTTTGAAGTGTTCTTTTCTCCAAATTATCACCCTCCTCCCACATTCACTCCTTCCTTACTCATCCCAGACACAATGCTGTGCCATCTGCCAGCGCCACGCGTTCTATGGCAGCGAGGCACAGTGGCTGAGGAACAGACACAGGCCTGGGGTCAGTGCCAGCTCTGCCACTCCCAGCTGCATGACCCCATGCCTGTCACCTCACCTGTACACATTCCTCCTTCCTAGAAGATGAGACCAGTAGTGCCTCCCCTGGCAGGGTTATTTGAGGAACGGAATGAGATCATGGACATAAAGTATTTAGTTAAGTGCTGGCCACAGTAAATGCTCAGTAAGCAGCAGGTATTTCTGTGGTTATCTGTAGTCCTTGTCTTCTGCCCGTCACCAACTCAGATCAATCTGCCTCCTACTAATCTGCTAGAATATCTGGACCCTGAAGGAGAAAAATCCCCAGCTGTGCAAACTGCAACCTAGACATCAACTGGTGGTCTCCTGTCTCCCCTGGGCCCTCACAGCTCTCACCCATTCTCTCTGACTGCGCTTTTCTATACCTTCACCACCTTCCCAGTCCTTCTACCCCCACTGCCAACAGACGAGCATACTTCTTACCTCTCTCATAGGGGGCACCACCAGGCAGTGATCCCCTACCTTTTTGCTTCCTGTCCCATACACCCATCATCTCGGCTCGCCATGCCCTCTCGTGGACCCTCTGCCTGGCTTTGCAGCTCATCTCTTCCCACCTCTTCAGAACCCTACTGTAGGGCTCTATACACTTCTCTCCTGCACTCTCGGCCTCCACTCCCCATCTCTTTTCCTTCAGCATATGCTCACAAATTGGTTTTGGGGGCCAAAAATCTACACTGTTTTTATGTATGAAGCACAGATATACTACACATACAGTGCATGTATGTGTGATATATACATAACATGTTTTGTCCATTTATTTCTTCATTAAAATGTGTATTAAGTACCCTCCCTGTGATACTGGCTGAGAAAACAAAACTGAAGGAAATCTTCCCTGCTGTCTTGGAACTCTAGACCTCTGTCCACCACCACCCCTGGGGAGGAAGAGTGGCAATATGGGTCAGCCAAGAAGACTGTGCAGTTTTAGTGCGAGGGAGCCCTGCTCTTTCCCTAAGAAGTGAAAAGGGGGAAACTTCTGGCTTCAGTGTTCAGCTGTCTTTGGAATTTCCACTTTGAAGTACTTGTCTACTATTTGGTTACTTAATTCCTCGAGAGAGGGACACCAACCATCATGGAGCTTTTTTGCCTCCCTCTGCAAGGCCATTCCAGAGGCGTATGCTTCAATGCACCCATGGCTTCCACAGGAACAATCAGGCCCATCCAGAGACACAACAAGGTGGCCCAGTTCTGCAGCACAGAAGGAGCTTCCGTGGATCAATTCATGCTGATGGATAATTCCACCACCGATTCCTACAGCGAGGGATAGAAATCACTGAGGGTGCTTTACCTGAAACAGAAAACTATGATATCACAACGCCTCATCTATTTAGCAGAGCTTTGGCATGTGAGGGTCTATAGATACTTCTTTAGACAGCTGAAGCCCACTAGGCATCAAAGCATTCTCTGGCAGCATTTTGGATGGAAATGTTTTTAGCAGATCCTCTGATGCCCTGTGACCCATCTGCTTGGGTCACTGTGATTTCAAACACAGCTGTGGGGACAGTGCAGCAAAAATGCATGCCCACCTTGTGGGTAGCAGACCCCCTGGCCCAGCACACACTGTCCATCTTTCTGCACCAAGGCTTTCTCTAACACTGAAGCAAGAGCCTACTCAGCCACGCAGGCACAGCACCCAGGGGCAACCTGCAACCGAGGCAAGGCAGGAGCCGGCAGATCCACAGGACAATTCTGGATGCTGTTCTGCAGGCTTCTTAGGAGGTGCTAGTGGAGTTCAGCCCCCTTTGCCCTCAAGTCAACTTCAATAATGTTAATATATCCTTAATGGCTTTCTTCCTGCTCTGTTTCATTCTTCCCACTCACCCTCCTGCTTCTTGTGGTCACCTCCAAAAAACCATACCTGTACCTAAATCCTTGTCTCAGGCTCTGCTCTGAGGAATACCCAAGATAAGTCTTTTAAAATGTATCACACACTACCTGCTTCCTGAAGCAGAAAATATGAAATAATGATTTTGCCTTTTTTGATGCTGCCATGTCTAAAAATCTGTGATTCAATAATTATAAATATCAGTGACTGTCTTTTGTTATGGCGTTTAGCAGTTACAAAGGAGTAAAGGGTATTGTGCCTGAGAAGGCTCTGCTTTTAAGGGTTGTCTTGCCATCTGTCACTTCTTGGGCACTTATTCCTCAACCCCTAGCCCTCTGATTTACAGCTTAGTCACTGCTCTGAGCCAGGAAATGGTATCCAAGTTTGCTAAAACTGTGTCTGGAACTAAAAGAGGATGAGCATGAGCTAAAGTACATGAGCTTAGGCTGGGTGTGGTGGCTCACCCCTGTAATCCCAGCACTTTGGGAGGCTGAGGCGGGCAGATCACCTGAAGCCAGAAGTTCAAGACCAGCCTGACCAACGTGGTGAAACCTTGTCTCTACTAAAAATACAGAAATTAGCCGGGTGTGGTGGCACATTCCTGTAATCTCAGCCATTTGGGAGGCTGAGGCAGGGGAATCACTTGAATCTGGGAGGCAGTGAGCTGAGATTGTGCGACTGCACTCCAGCCTGGGTGACAGAGTGAGACTCACTCTTTAAATAAATAAATAAATAAGTACATGAGCTTAAAGGGATAGTGGTGTAATGTAGAGTTTAAGCACATACAAGTTTTGAAGTTAGACATATCTGTATCAGATGCTGGCTTAACCGCTTATTAGCTAAGTCTGTTTCCTCATTTAAAAATCAAGTTATACACTTAAAATATATACAACAAAAATAAAATAGAGTAAAAAAACAAAAGTAACAAATTGGGATGTCATAAAAAAATGACAGAGCAGGGAACTCCAAAGGTCCATTCTGCCACTAAAGTGAGGAAAAAACTGGTAAAAATGTCAGAATCAACCTTTTTGGAACTCTGGAAACTAACCAAAGTTTGCAACAAACAGAGGAATGCTTAATTTAAAAAAGAAAAACAAAAACCAGGGCCAGGTGCAGTGGGTCATGCCTGTAATCCCAGCACTTTGGGAGACCAAGGCAGGAGGATCCCTCGAGCCCAGCAGTTTAAGACCAGCCTGGGCAACATGGTGAGACCCTGTCTAAAAACAAAACAAAACCAGCTGAATCTTGATAAGAGAACTTTCTGGTGTTGTAACCTACCCTGGTCCCATCACCCACTCTCCAGCTTGGTGGTGACCTTGAACAACAGTCCACACTCCCAGTACTGGTGTACAGAAACAGTACTGGATACCAGTACCTGACGGGGCAGGACGAACTTATTTTCAAAAAATTGTGGTTGTTTGTTTTGACCTGCCTGTCACCTCCCTGGAGGACCACCTCAAAGGGCCTGCTTTCATCTTAACTAACTAGGAACTATCCTAGTGCTGAGGGGGTTACATGAAGGATGTT